>NC_000010.11:18797878-18949393 GCF_000001405.40 Homo sapiens
TGGGAGGCCGAGGTGGGCAGATCACGAGGTCAGGAGATCGAGACCATCCTGGCTAACACGGTGAAACCCTGTCTCTACTAAAAAAAATACAAAAAATTAGCCAGGTATGGCGGCGGGTGCCTGTAGTCCCAGCTACTTGGGAGGCTGAGGCAGGAGAATGGTGTGAACCCGGGAGGCGGAGCTTGCAGTGAGCCAAGATCACGCCACTGCACTCCAGCCTGGGTGACAGAGGGAGACTCCATCTCAAAAAAAAAAGTTAGAAAAATCTCAAATTAACAACCTAATGTTGCACCTAGAGGAACTAGAAAACAAGAGCAAACCAGCCCTAAAACTATCATAAGGAAGAAATAATCAAAATCAGAGCTGAACTGAATGATATATTGAGATACAAAAATCTGTACAAAAGATCAATGGGACCAAAAATTGGTTCTTCAAAAGATTAAACACAATTGATAGACCACTAGCTAGATTAATAAGAAACAAAAAGAGAGAAAATCCAAATAAACACAGAAACAACAAAGGTGACGTTACAACCGACCCCACAGAAATAAAAAAAAAAAAAACCATCAGTGACTATTACTGCTATGCATCCAAACTGAAAAACTAGAAGAAATGAATAAATTCTTGAAATGAATACATTCTATCAGTCTTTCCCAAGATTGAAGCAAGAGGAAATTAAAATCCTGAATCGACCAACAATAAATTCCAAAATTGAATCAGTAGTAAAAAGTCTACTAAAAAGAAAAAGCCCTGGATCGGATGTATTTACAGCTGAATTGTACCAGATGTGAAATCCTACTGAAATTATTCCAAAAAATTGAGGAGGAGGGACTCCTCCCTAACTCATTCTATGAAGCCAGCATTATTTTGATACCAAAGCCTGGCAGAGACACACCAAAAAAAGGAAAACTTTGGGCTGGTATCACTGATGAACAGAGATACAAAATCTTCAATAAAATACTAGCAAACTGAATACAGCAGCACATCAAAAAGTTAATTTATTATGATCAAGTAGGCTTTATTCCTAAGATGCAAGGTTGGTTGAACATATACGAATCAATAAATGTAATTCATCACATAAACAGAATTAACAAAAACCACATGATCTTCTCAAGAGGCACAGAAAGGGCATTCAATAAAATTCAACATCCCTTCATGTTAAAAACTCTCAACAAATTGGGCATCAAAGGAGCATTCCTGAAAATAATAAGAGCCATCTAAGACAAAGCCACAGCCAACATCATACTGAATGGGCAAAAGCTGTAAGCATTCCACTTGAGAATTGGAACAAGACAAGGATGTCCAATTTCACCACTTCATTTCAAAGTAGTACCGGAAGTCCTAGCCAAAGCAGTTGGGCAAGAGAAGGAAATAAAGGGCATCCAAATAGGAAGAGAGCAAGTCAAACTATCTCTCTCCACGGACAGTATGATTATATACCTAGAAAACCTCATAGACTCTGCCAGAAGGATTCTAGAACTGATAAATGACTTCAGCAAAGTTTCAGAACACAAAATCAGTGTTCAAAAATCAGTAGCATTTCTATACACCAATAATGTTCAAGCTCAGAGCCAAATCAAGAACACAGTCTCATTTGCAATAGCCACAAAAGAATAAAATACCTAGAAATGCAGCTTACCAAGACGGTAACAAGTCTCTACAATGAGAATTACAGAATGCTGGTGAAAGAAATCAGAGATGATACAAACAAATGTAAAAATTAATATTGATAAAATGGCCACACTGCCCAAAGCAATTTATAGATTCAATGCTATTTCTATCAAACTGCCAATGATACTTTTCACATAATTAGAAAAAACTATTTTAAAATTCCTATGGAACCAAAAACAAGCCCGAATCACCAAAGCAATCGTAAGCAAAAAGAGCAAAGCTAGAGGTATCACACTACTCGACTTCAAACTATACTTCAAGGCTACAGTACCAAAACATGATGATACTGGTACAAAAACAGACATACAGACCCATAGAACAGGATAGAGAACCTAGAGATAAAGCCACACACCTACAACGACCTGATATTTGACAAAGCTGACAATAACAAACAATGGGGAAAGGATTCCCTATTCAATAAATGGCGCTGGGATAATTGGCTAGCCGTATGCAGAAGATTGAAAGTGGACCCCTTCCTTTCATCATATACAAAAATTAAGGCAAAATCAAAGAGTTAAATGCAAAACCTAAAACAATACAAACTCTAGAAGAAAACCTACGAAATGCCATTCTAAACATTGTCCTTTGCAAAGAAGGTATGAGTAATTACAACAATTACAATTACAACAATTACAATTACAATAAAACCAAAACAATTACAACAAAAACAAAAATTGACATGTGGGACCTAATTCAGCTAAATAGTTTCTGCAGAGCAGAAGAAACTATCAATAGAGTAAACAGACAACCTACAGAATGGGAGAAAGTAATTGCAGACTGTGCATCTGACAAAGGCCTAATATCCAGAATCTGTAAGGAACTTAAATTAACAAGCATAAAACAACTCCATTAAAAAATGGGTAAGGGACATGAACAGATACTTTTGAAAGGAAGACCCACACATAGCCAACAAATATATGAAAAAATATTCTTCACTAATCATTAGAGAAATGCAAATCAAAACCACAGTGAGATGCCACCTCATACCAGTCAGACTGGCTGTTATTTAAAAGTCAAAAAATGACAGATGCTGGCAAGGTTGCAGGGAAAAGAGAACACTTATATACTGCTGGTGGAAACATAAATTAGTTCAGCCACTGTGGAAAGCAGTTTGGAGATCTCTCAAAGAACTTAAAACAGAACTATTATTTGACCCAGCAATCTCATCACTGGGTATATACCTAAAGGAAAATAAATTGTTCCACCAAAAAGACAAATGCACATATATGTTCATTGCAGCACTATTCACAGTAGCAAAGATGTGGAATCAACCAAGATGCCCATCAATGGTGGACTGGATATAGATAATATGGTACATATACACCATGGAGTACTATGCAGCCATACAAAAGAATGAAATCATGTCCTTTGCAGCAACATGAGTGCAGCTGGAAGCCATTATCCTCAGTGAACTAAATCAGGAACAGAAAACCAAATGCTACATGTTCTCACTTATAAGTGGAGTGTTAAACATTGAACACGTATGAACACAAAGATGGGAGCAATAGACACTGGGGGCTGTTGAGGAGGGAGGGTATAAGAGAGGCATGTGTTGGAAGGCTGCCAGTCAGGTAACATGCTGACTACCTCGGTGACAGGATCATTTACACACAAGCCTCAGTGACATGCAATTTTCCTATGTAACAAACCTCTATATGTGCCCCTTGAACCTAAAATAGAAATAGAAGAGGAAAAAAAAAATCTATAAAGTTTATACATTTTTCCAAAGTTGTGCAGAACCTTGATTCTGACTCCTTCAAAGTAGGAGCTAAAATATGCTTTGTGATTTTCTTCTCTTTTTTTAAAAATGAAATAACAGCTTCATTAAGATAGAATTTGCATACCATATAGTTCACACATTTAAAGTGTATCATTCAGTGGTTTTTAGTATATTCATAAATACATACACTAATCACTGTAGTCAATTTTAGAGCTTTCATCACCCCAAAAATAAACCCTGCACAACCTGGCTTTTCCTTTTTATCCTTGAGTATCCTCTACCCCTCAGCAATAAGCAACCACTTATCTATTTTCGGTCTCTATAGATTTCCTTATTCTAGGATTTTATATGAAATGGACATATTAAGCATGTATTCTTTATTGTGACTGGCTTCCTTCACTTAACATGATGTTTTCAAAGTTTATCCATGTTGCAGCATGTTACCAGAACTTCATTCTTTTTTATGGATGAATAATATTTTATATTATTCCTTCATATAAAATATTTTATATTATTAATTCATATATATTTTGTTTATCCATACATTAACACGTAGACATATAGTTTGTTTCCAGATTTTGGCTAATAGGAATAATTCTGCCATAAACACTTGTGTATGGCATGTCTTCATTTCTCTTGGGTACATCTCCGAGAGTGGACTTGCTGGATCCTATGGTAACTCTATGTTTAATCATTTGAGGAAGTGCCACACTGATTTCCAAAGGAGCTTGCACCATTTTATATTCCCACCAGTGGTGTATTAGGGTCCAGTTTCTCCAAATATTTTTCAACACTTAGCTGAGTTTTTGGTTCTAGCTATCCTAGTAGATGTGAAGTGGTATCCCATTGTGATTTTGATTTGCATTTTCATGACGACTCATGATGGTGTTACATGATCTTTAATGATCATAGGATAAAAAGAAATAATTTTCTTAATAGAATATATTAATTATTTATGTACATGGACCCAAGGGAATGTTATCTTATATGCCTTCATGAAGAAGTCTGTAACACTTGTATAGTCAATGGAATAATATATTCCACAGGGTAAAGTGCAGTTAATAAATGATTCTGTGTCAGAATTAGGGGATGTGAAGCCCTGCAAGAATAATTAAGCTTTACAGCTGTGTTTTATAATCAGCGCTACCGAATATTTCCTTCATGCTGTTGATTAAGGAGACATAGCTGTTTAATAAGCATATGTTTTCTCTGAGGCACAGCTACTAACAGCTGAGGTTCACCTTTATTTGTCCTTATAGGTGTGCTCATCTTACCAAAGGTAAGTCAACAGTCTGTTTACTCTGATTGTTCTGCTTGAAATTAGCAGGAAACAATTTAAGGCTCCTCTGAAGAGCTCATTCTAAAGAGTGCAATTTCTACTTTTTCTTTGCAGAAATCCTGTGTTATCAGCTGGCCCTGCAAAGATAATGAATCCTGTCTTTTGCTGAATGTTCACCCCATTAGAAACTCAGTTTCACTCTGCTTTTATCCACTTTAGACCCTATGTTGATCTTTCTGGTTCTTTACAGTTGGGTTGAAAATAATAACAGACAAAAGCCCTACGGAGTCTTCATTCCCTCAGGTGTTTTTGCTGCTGGGACACAAATAGCACAATTTTTCTTTGTCCTTTTCCCAAAATTGCAGCAGAGCAAGCTGAAACTGTGATATTATTAAGAAAAAAGTGCTCTCCTTTTCTTTCAAATTAAACCCTGTGGTTCTGAATTAGTCCCTGGAGGTGGTTGAATAGGGATAGTACATCTGTTCAAAAATTAGATGCTTTCCAGTTAATAAGACTGCATTGGATGCTATATTATTCTCTTGTCAGAACATTATAAATTATTTCATAATTTTGAAAGTATTGCAGGAAGTTGTAATAAAACTTTGCTGTTCTCATTAGCAACTCTTTGTTACCAACAGTCTTCTCTAGCTTTGAGGACTTAATTTTTTTGATGACTTATTTAACGTGCTCCAGATTCTCTGAGTTTGGCAAAGAAAACTTTCAATTAGAAAAATAATTAACTGCCCTCTTTGTGAAATTGATGGGTCTCAATCACTGTATGGTGAATTTTTACCAAATGGAAGAAACGAATTCAGCAATATAGAAAAATCTTGTTAGATAACCTCAGCAGATATTATGAGATAACCAGGCAAAATTATTCTAATTACCTTATCATAGAACATATACATAATTTTACTACATCTTCTTTTTTTTAAATAATTTTTTTTGAAATAGAGGTAGGGTCTCACTATATTGCCCAGGCTGGTCTCAAACTCCTGGGCTCGAGTGATCCTCCCACCTCAGCCTCCCAAATTACAGAGATTACATGCATGAGCCACCACACCTGGCCGCCTTCTTCTTCTTTTTTTTGTTTTTAACAATGAACTTGCAAGTAGTGGGGAATTAAATTTAATGGAAATTAGATTAAAATTTGTGGATCTCCATGGCAGTACAGTGAGTGAAAAAGTAAATTTGGCTTGGGTAATAGGGAGAAACTGAGAAAGAAAAGTAGATTTACTTCCTAAATATTTTAATATCCAGTAACAGCAAAGCTGCTAATTAAATATGTCAGGAATAATAAACATGAACCAATTCAAATCACTTCCCAGAAAGTCTCACTTTCACTGCAGATTTGATTAAATCTCATTTGTCTTGTCCCAGCAGCTTAGCAGAATAAGGTAAAATATGGAAAGGAGGATTTTGGGGTGCCAGAGGAGCCATTTCCACCGGTGCCTTTAGCTCTAATTTATTATAATTTAATCAGTTAATATGCCCTGGGCTCTGACCCTCATCAGTTATCAAGACGGGCTTCATGGACATGCAACCAGTGCAGCTCACAGCACTTAGAGCTTAATGCTATATGAGTCTATTTTAACACTGCTATAAAGATACTACCTGAGACTGAGTAATTTATAAGCAAAAGAGGTTTAACTGACTCACAGTTTTGTATGGCTGAGAGGCCTCAGGAAACTTACAATCATGGTGGAAGGCGAATGGGAAGCAAGGCACTTCTTACCTGGCAGCAGGAGATGGGGGCAGGAAGCACCAGACACTTATCAAACAACCAGAGCTCATGAGAACTCACTTGCTATAATGAGAACAGCATGGGGGAAACCACCACCATGATCCAATCACCTCCCACCAGGTCCATCCCTCAACATGTGGGGATTGGAATTTGGATTACAATTTGAGTTGAGATTTTGGTGAGTATGCAGCCAAATCATACCAAATGCTCTACATGCAATTGTTGTCCTGAAATTCGGAACAATTTAATATTTCCATTTGTGCTATGCAAGTGAAATCTGACAACTGGGACAACTGAGTATGGGCTAGGGGCTCGGAGCCTCAGTCCATGTGGGATTGCAGCTCCTGCCTCCTCCACACCTCCTAGGATGGATTCTCAGGCACCTGCTCCCCTGCCCCTCCCAACACCACCTGTGACCTATACCCCCACTCCAAGTAGGATCTGGATATGTGTCAGAGGTTAAAGTTGGACTTATACAACATTAAATAGCAAGCAAAAAAACAAAACAAAACAAAACAAAAACTCGAAAACCCACTGTGGCAGGTCAAGAGACAAAACTTGGGAAGAAGGGAGAAAGCTTTTTGTCAGTGCTGCAAACAAGGGGCCCTTGTTTGAAATGTAGGCATTTTCATTTTGCTCTGAGCCTTGCAAATTATGCAGCTGGCCCTGTCTGTTAATCAGTGATGCTCCCTGTCTTCTCCTTGCTATCAGGTTATTTTCTTTTGAAATGAGTGGATAGAATAAAAATATCCTCACATTTTCCTTGTTTCCTTTTCCCCATGCATCTGAGTGCTTCTACTGTGATTTTCACTGTTCAGATCCACCCTGGAGGCACAAGAGCTGTAATGATGCTTTCTTACAAAGACCATTGTCCTGAGTGCTTCAGGGATTAATGTCTCTTTGAAAGAGCCAATTGTTTTTTTTTTTTTTTTTTTAATTCCAGGTGATCTAAGAAACTAGTATGGAAAATATTTTTGTTATGTTTGTAATGCCCCATACTTATTTTTGTTATTGTCTGTACTGATTAGCAACATAATCTTACAGTCAAAATCATGCCACTGGAAGCATAACAGAAAGGTCACTCATTGGTTTTCCTATAGTTTTTTTAAATCGGACTAGCTCCACTCAGGTGGGTGTGCCCTAAGATGAATTGTATTTGGAGGAACTGAAGACTGCTGAACATTTTACTCCTTTCTTGTACCATAAAGTAAAAACCAGCCATGCTGCCCTAAAGATCACTCAGAAAATACTTTCTTTCAGGCATTTATCTAGTCCTATATATTGATATACTGTAGGACATATTTTTTCTAATATGGTAGTGATTAGAATTTCATTACTTTTGTTGTTTACAGAGAGTCAACACCGCCTATGCCAAGTTAAAATAGGTAGTGGCTTAAACAAAATTGAGTAGATATACTGAGCATCAAACTGAACGAAGTGGAAAGCTGATGTCAGGAGATAATTTCAGACTTTCTCTAGACTCCATTCTCCTTCTCTGCACCTCCCAGGAGAATATGCCTACAGCTCTCTAATGTCTTGCATTCCTTTATAGATACGACCTTCCCATGTTAACTTTGTAATGTTTGTGCGGTCTATCGAAGTTTCTTGCAAACTACTATCTATACACTCTCATTGCTTCCTGAAGTTAATCCCCCCTAAAAGGGATATAGACAACTGGAAAGTGCTACAGACACCAAACTTCCCCAGGGGAGCCTCGGCATACATCAGTCCACTGAAGGCTCTCAGTAGGCTTGGAATAAAATTGGTATTTAACCCTGGATTTTCCAAACTGATTTTATCATGAGGCATATTTTTTTCTCATTATTATCTGTTAACATTTTGGGGTCAAAGCAATCCGTGGCAAACCTTTTGGTAATTTCCAGTATAGATAGTTAGAACTAGTTGCAGAGGGTGGGGGAGGGATTCTGGCCTTTAACCAGTTTTATTTCGATTGTTGTAAAGATATATATGAATTCAGTGACTGGTGTCAGAAATGCGACAGAATATATTTCTGATGCTTTAAGTTTATGGTAATTGTAGCAGCCATAGGAATCTAATCTAGCAAGTAAAGAGAATAATAGTTAAACTTTTCAAAGTTTTCATCACTGATCTAGGCTTGAGACCATTTTTCTTGCTTCCACAAAACTGGAAAATCAAGGTATCTTTAGCATTTCTTCAGATTCAGCCTGCAGACTCAGATCTATTTTAGCTATGTTATTTTAGGATTTCTTAGGAGGCCATGGTTGCAGGAGGAAACATACATGAGAGGGTGGAACTTGGAGCCAGTAATAGGAAGAATTGCAGTGGTGTTCAAGGTGAAAGAGTGGATAGCGATTATGAAGTTGATATACTACCTTGTCAGCCAATTATGTTGAGAGGTTCCCTCAAATTTGAGGCAACTCTGGCCACGTAGTCTAGGGAGAGCAAAATCAAAAGGGAAGATTGTTTTTTATCACAGATACATATTGTTTGTTTCATGGAATCTGTCTTGAATATAAGGTTAGAGTCAATTGGGATCAGGTGGAGATAAAATGTACTTTATTTATTTATTTTTTTTATTTTTGAGATGGGGTCTTGCTCAGACTGGAGTACAGTGGCACCATCATGCCTCACAGCAGCCTTGAGCTCCCAGGCTCAAGTGATCCTCCAACCTCAGTCACCTGAGTAGCTGGGACCACAGGTGCACACTGCCATGCCTGGTTAATTTTTGTATTTTTTGTAGAAACAGGATTTTCCCATGCTTCCCAAGCTGGTCTCAAACTCCTGGGCTCAAACAATCTGCCTGACTCAACCACCCAAAGCACTGGGATTACAGGTGTGAGCCACTGTACTCAGCCACTAAATGTACTTTTATATCTATACAAACAAAGATGGATAAAATCATCCATCTATCTATCTAGCCATCTGCCTGTCATCTACATCTATCAATGTATGTTTTAACATTTTGTTTGAATTATGACAGTGTCATTATTAACTTTTATATCACTGCAAAAGAAGTAAATAATCAGGTAAATTAGTTCAATAAGGGCCCTAACTGAAGACTGAAAGGATAACAAAAAGAAAAGAAAAGAAAAGAAAAGTATCTTACTGTCTTTTAGCAGAAATTTGCACTGTATGAAAGCAAATATGGACATATTCAAATTGGTGCTGAATAAATATGAGAAGGCTAGAATGTCCTGGCTCAGAAAAACTATCTCTACAGTCACAACCATATAATGATATTTAAATTTTATTTATTTCTAAGCTCCCATTCACAGCACAAAGCTCCTGCTTATAATGCTATACCATTGAGTAAGAGCAAAATCTTCATTTCAAAATCGAAAAGGTTTAGCGAGGCTCAACTGAATGGATGTGTGCATAAAATGGTATTTTTCCCGGGGAGGTGAGATTTTGATAATACTAAAGCCTCTCCCCTGACTGAATTGGCCACAAGGAGGAATCCATCCCTGTATAATGAGGCCAGGGATGGTCTAGCATTTCTGGAATGAAGCCCCTTGGAACTGCCATGCTGATTTTATCACACATGAGTACAGCAACCAGTTGTTGACACTGGGTTCTGTTGCACAGACAGAACTGGGAATGCTGGCCAGCGGTGGATTGAAATGGAAATGAGAAACCTTCTGTGCTCCACTGGCTCAAAACTACCTGCTCTTGTCCTAGCATGCAGGTTGCCCCTAGTATTACCCCATCCCTTCACTGTCCTTGTCCTACAGCCTCAGTCTTATCTAAAATACCTGAAGTTTGTGATTTAGACACACACTGAGTATTCTGGTTCTGACCCAGGCTGAGTTTCCTGGAGTAATTCTTCACCTGTCATTAGCGGCTTTCAGTCTCTTCCCCTGGTTTGCTTATAATTCTTGATGATACTCATCACTGTTATTATTTTTTTTTCATTTTAGTGTGTCACTCAAGCTTCAAATCCTGATAATTGGGAACTCAGCATATGGCGGACTCGAAGGGATCATACTTTTTTCTGTCTTTCTCATCAAATATTAAGCTCAATTATCTTTCCCCCATCATCAGCAATTATATAGGTTTGCATAAATTTACATTGCCGCAGCAGTCATATTGCCCAACTGAATTTCTGGCAAGTATAAATGTTATTGTCAGAGGCAATTTATAGTGCAAGTCAAACAGACATCCTCCTCCACCCAAATCTCTTTCCCCTCGACTCCTGGAAGCATAATTAAGAGAAATGTAGAAAGCTGCGTGTGAGAAACATGGAAATATAGCTGCTGTGTTAAAGGAAGAGAGAATGAACGAACTAAAATAATTATTCCTAACTACCCTTCCTTGGAGTGTTGTGTGTGTGGGTGACAAAGATGGAAATTGGAAAGAGAATTCCCTGTTTTCCTATATATTTGGGTCAATTCAGTTAAAAATTCTTTCTAAAAACAGACATCATTTATTAATAATGCAACTTAACTCTGTGCGAGGCAGTAGGGATACACTAAAGAGTAAGACAAAACGGCTGGACATGTTGGCTCATGCCTGTAATCCTAGCACTTTGGGAAGCCGAGGTGGGAAGATTGCTTGAGCCCAGGAGGTCAAGATCAGGATGGGCAGCAAAGAGAGCTCCCATTTCTACAAAATAATAAAAAGATTAGCTGAACCTGGTAGCGCACTCCTGTAGTCCCAGCTACTTGATGTGGGAGGATCTCTTGAGCCCAGGAAGTAGAGGCTGCAGTGCCACGATCGTACCACTGTACTTCAGCCTGGGTGACAAAGCCGGACTCTGTCTCAAAAAATGAAAAAAAGAGAAAAAAAAGAAAAAGGAAAAAAGAAAAATCTTGCTTGGAAGGGGCTGGTTGTGTGATTGTTCATTCATTTTGGTTTTGGTGAATTCTCTCCCTTGTATTTGATGGGACAGATTATGGGTTCCATAATAACTTAGATGAAGACCATTCTGGGACTTTGAAAATAATTCTACAGTCCCAAATAATTAAAGAAAGAATGGCCTAATACTTATTCATTTTCTATTTTGGAGATAGTTTCAGAGAAAAATGGACAATGGTCATCCCCTAAGGTTTTGGTCTACTTATCCTAGGAGATGCTGGGGTTTTTGGTATTCATTGGGTGTATAGTATGGACAATACATTTGATAGTTGGTAAGATAATGGAAACGATGCTCTTCAATTATTAAACTCTGAAAGTTAGACAGCACTTTAATGGGACCTTTATTCTAAGGAAAAAAATTTCCCCTCTGGATATTATTTTTCAGCATAGTTCCTTCACTCTCTATGCTTGTTTAATGACTGCTGCTTAAAATTCTTTCATTTCTTATATATTTAGTGGGACAAATGGAGAGAATAATGGTCAGAATAGAAATAATAATCTTTTCCTGTTTCACACTGTTCTTTCTTTTGGGAACAATCACAAATTGTGTTTGAAAGCAGAATGTTCATCCTTTGAAGAAATACTGGGCTTGAAAACCATCAGAGTAAAACTGCGTTTTTCTCAAGGAAAATGACTAACTGTCTCCTGCTCTAACATTGCCTAGAAAATGCCATTATAGTTTAAAGTAAATAGCAAGTACATGCATTCGAATAACTCCTGTGGGTAGGTGGCATTTACTCTCCAAGCTGAACCCAAATAAAGTTTTCTTTATGGATTTCTAATTTTATAATGTTCTTGAACTCTTATCTTTTAATGGGTATTATTCAGAAAGCAAAAACAATAACACGGGTAATTAGATACATTTTGAGGTGGAATATTAAGTATTTCACTCAGGAGGGATTTTATTTAATTAAATTGACTCATCATGAAGACTTGAAGCAATCAATTTTATTTTTACAGGGAGTACATTCTTGTTGTTAGAAATCACCTTAATATAGACCCTTCACAAGTCAGAGAAATTTACCTTTTAGCTTTATAAGACACACGAACTATGCTTGTAAGCAGGAATAGTGTGGTATCCCAGGTACATGTTTTATACCTGCATTATTGAACAGTAATTATTTGGTGATTTTAATTTCCATCATGAGTTGAAGCAAAACTTTTGATTTTATTAGGAAGTGAGCTATTATGATGCAACAAGTTATTATAGGATATTATGGCAATTGTTTTTTATGTAATGCATTAGGGGTTAAATAAAAAAAGAGTGGATATTAGAAAATTCCAGTTAGAGGGAGGCGGAGGTTGCAGTGAGCTGAAATCACACCACTGCATTCCAGTCTGGGCAACAGAGTGAGACCCTGTCTCAAAAAAAAAAAAAAAACATCTGGTTAAAGATATTGGATTAAATGGAGACTGAAACTTCCTGTCACCCTTTAAAAACAAAATCACTTCACTGAGTATGATGGGCATGTAAAAAGCTGTACATATTTAATGTATACACCATGATGAGATTGGAGATAAGTGTACACCTGTGAAACCATCACCACAATCAATGCTGTAAACTTTTCAGTCATCTCCAAAGACTTCCTCCTTCCCATCCTTCCTCTCCGCTCCCATCCTCCCTCACTGTCGCTCCCTCCCTCCCTTCCTCCATTCCTCCATTCCTCCATTCCTCCCTTCCTTTCTCTTTTCCCTCCCCTCCCCTCCTCCTCCCTCCCCCTCTCCCTCTCATGGACACAAGGCGGGGAACATCACACAATGGGGCCTGTTGGTGGGGGGTGGGGGGCTGGGGGAGGGATAGCATTAGGAGAAATACCTAATGCAAATGACAAGTTGATGGGTGCAGCAAACCAACATGGCACATGTATACCTATGTAACGAACATGCATGTTGTGCACATGTACCCTAGAACTTAAAGTATAATTTAAAAAAAAGCAAAAATAAGAAAAAAAATAAGAAAAAAATTATATTCTTAAGAAAAATACTTGTGACATGTTATCAAAGAAATGAATTAGACTACATGAATATATTCTAAGAATAATTATTCTGATTTTTAAGCGTTTAGATACTATAAATATTTTTATACTATTTTTCATGAATATATGCTAATTGTATTTTTATAAATCTTTTTTTGAAAATAGGTTTTGAAAGGAGCTATTTCATAGGTTTACCATCATAATGAAACAATTCATCAGATGGTTTTAATAACTACACAATTATAATAATTGTAGCACCACCTTTTATTCACCAAAATGTCCAAGTTGGTACTGTAATTGTACAGTTACCCTACTAATGCAAAAGCCAAATAAAAAGAAAGTAAAAGACAATAAAAGAGGAAAAGAGAGCCAAAATTTGAAGAAGATGGAAAAATTTGGGCACATTAAAACCTGAAAACATTTAGCAAAAGAAGGTATCATAAAGTTGAAAACAACTGGTAGTCTTGGGAGGACAATATGTGCAACATATATCACAGACAGCCTATGTATCAAAAGAAGAATATGAACAGCATATACAGCATATATAACACATATGATATATGAAAACTCCTTTTGCTGGCAAGCAAAAGACCAGCAACCTAATATAAAAACAAAATGAACCAGAACACAAACAGCCAATTCACATAGGGAAAAAGTGGAAGAATATCTTCATTGCTTTCAAGTTTTGACAATTATGAATAACATTGCTATAACATTCCTGTACAATTTTTTTGTGTGTACAAACATTTTTAATCTATTTAAGTAAATACCTAGGAGGACAGTTTCTAAATTGTATGGTAAAACTATGTTTAACTTTGTAAGAATTTCCAGATTCTGCCCATCAGCAAAGAATGAGAATCCACGTTACTCTGTGTCCTCACCAACACTTGGCATTGTCAGTGTGTTGGATTTTAGTAATTTTAATAGATGTGTAGAAGTACTACAAATTTATTTTCAGTTTTCTAATGACAGATGATGTTGAGCATCTTTTCCTGTGCTTATTTGCCATTTTTATAACTTCCTTGGTCAGGTCTGTTCAGATCTTTTCTATGTTTATTAACTGGGTTTTTTTTAAATTGTTGAGTTTTATTTTTGGAGTTTATTTATTGGAGTTTTAGAGTTTATTTTGGAGTTTATTTGTTGAGTTTATTTTTGGAGTTCCTTGTATATTTTGTATACCAATCCTTTATCAGATATATATTTTGTAATATTTCTTTCCCCTCTGTGGTTTATCTTTTCACCATCTTGGAAGTGTCTTTTGTAGAGTGAAAATTTTCGTTTTCATAAAGTGCAACATGCACATTTTTTTTTCTCATGGATCATGCTTTTGGTGTTGAATTTAAGAAGTCATCACCATACCCAAGTCACTTAGATTTTATCCTATGGTATCTCTTAGGAGTTTTTAATGTTTTACCTTTAGGTCTGTGATTCATTTTGTTTTGGGATAACCTGCCCCCAATATTTCAACATAGGTTCTTTCTATTTTCCATGAGTGTCGGCTGGCTGAGAAATAAAGAGAGACAGTACAAAGAGAGGAATTTTACAGCTGGGCTGCCAGGGGTGACATCATATATTGGTAGGACCATGATGTCCACTTGAGCCTCAAACCAGCAAGTTTTTTATTAAGGGTTTCAAAAGGGGAGGGGGTGTAAGAACAGAGAGTAGGTACAAAGATCACATGCTTCAAAGGGCAAAAAGCAGAACAAAGATTACATGCTTCTGAGGGAACAGGACAAAGGGCAAAGCAGAACTACTGATAAGGGTCCAACAAAGATCACAAGGCAAAGGGCAAAAGCAGAACTACTAATAAGGGTCCAACAAAGATCACAAAGCAAAGGGCAAAAGCAGAACTACTGATAAGGGTCTATGTTCAGCGGTGCAAGTATTGTCTTGATAAACATCTTGAATAACAGAAAACAGGATTCGAGAGTAGAAAAGTCATCTGACCACAGATTTACCAGGGTGGAGTTTTTCCCCACCCTAGTAAGCCTGAGGGTACTGCAGGAGACCAGGGTGTATCTCAGTCCTTATCTCTACCGTATAAGACAGACACTCCCAGAGCGGCCGTTTATAGACCTCCCCCCAGGAATGCATTCCTTTCCCAGGGTATTAATATTAATATTCCTTGCTAGGAAAAGAATTTAGTGACATGTCTCCTACTTGCACATCCATTTATGGGCTCTCTGCAAGAAAAATATGGCTCTTTTGCCTGACCCCACAGGCAGTCAGACCTTATGGTTGTCTTCCCTTGTTCCCTAAAAATCGCTGTTATTCTGTTCTTTTTCAACGTGCACTGATTTCATATTGTTCAAACACACATGTTTTACAATCCATTTGTACAGTTAACACAATTATCTCAGTGGTCCTGAGGTGACATACATCCTCAGCTTACAAAGATAACAGGATTAAGAGATTAAAGTAAAGACAGGCATAAGAAATTATAAAAGTATTATTTGGGAACTGATAAATGTCCATGAAATCTTCACAATTTGTGTTGCTCTGCCGCGGCTCCAGCAGGTCCCTCCATTTGGGGTCCCTGACTTCCTGCAACAATTTTGAGTTAATTTTTATGAAAGTTTTAAGGTCTGTGTCTATATTTATGATTTTGCATGTAGATATCCACTTGTTGCAGTACCATTTGTTGAAAAGACTGTCTTTCAACGAAAGATAGTCTACTATTTTGGATCAAATTCTGCTAAATTGAATTTCATCTAGTTTGTTAACTTCCTTTCTGTGTCTTTTTCATGAATATTTTAAGTGTTTGAATTGCCTTTAGTCCTTTGACAAAGATCAGTTGACGATATGTGTGGGGGTTGATTTCTGGGCTACTTTGATCGAATTCTCTATTTGTTCTTTTACTGATACCATACTGTCTTCCTACTGTCTTCAGTACTGTACCTTCATAGTAAGTCTTCAAGTCATGTAGTGTCACTTTTCCAACTTTGTTCTTTTCTTTTACATTGTATTAGGTATTCTGGACTTTTTGTCTTTTCACCGAAACTGTAGAATCTGTTGGCTTCCGAAAAATAACTTTCTGGGGTTTTAATTGGGATTACATTGAATCTATACAACAAGTTGGGAAGACTGACATCTTAACAATATTGAGTCTTCCTTTTCATGTACATGCAATGTCTTTCCACTTAATTAGGACTTCTATGTTTTCTTTCAAGAGAGTTGTGTTTTTCCTCACATAAATCTTGTACATATTTTGTGATACTTATGACTATTTCATTTCTTTGCTAATACAAGTGGCACTGTGTTTTAATTTCATATTACAATTGACCATTGCTGGTACATAGGGAAGCAATTGACTTTAATATATTAACTTTATATCCTGAATTCTTATTAGAATCGCTTACTAGTTCCAGGAGTTTATTGTTGCTTCTTTGGGGTTTTCTACATAGAAATGATGTCAATGATGTCATCTGTAAACAAAGACGGTTTGATTTCTTCCTTCATAATCTATATAATTTTAATTTCCTTTTCTTGTCTTATTGCACAATCTAGCACTTCCAGTGGGATGTTGAATAAGAGTGATGAGAGCAGAAATACTTGCTTTATTCACAATTATGGTGGAAAAGTATTTATTTTCTCAATGTTAAGTATGATGCTAACTATGGGTTCTTTTGTAGATGGCCGTTATCAAGTTGAGGAAGCTTCCCTCTGTTCGTAGTTTGTGGAGAGTTTTTTTTTGAAATCACAAATGGGTGTTGGACTTTCACAGATGCTTTTCTGAATATATTGACATGATCCTATAATTTTTTTCTTTAGCCTGTTTATGTGATTGTTTACATTAACTGATTTTTGAATGTTGGTCCAACATTGTATCCTTGGAATAAATCTCACTTGGTCATGGTGTATAATTGCTTTTTAAAAATAAATTACAGGATTTGGTTTGCTAATATTTTGTTGAGACTTTTGTATTTATGTTCATGCTATGGATTGGCCTATAGTTTTCCTATTTAGTAATGTCTTTGTTTTTATATTAATGTTGGTTTCATAGAATGAGATGTGAAGTATTCCTTCTAATTGTTTGCTGGAAGAGATTATAGAGAATTCATATTGTGTCATCCTTAAATGTTTGGTAGAATTCATAAGTGAACCCATCTTTGCCTGGAATTTTCTATTTTGGAAGGTTATTAATGATGGATTCAATTTCTATGATAGATACAGGCATATTCAGATTGTTTCTTCTCATGTGAGTTTTGGTAGAATGTGTTTTCCAAGGAATAGGTTCATCGCAATGTAAAAATGTGATTATAGAGTTGCTCATACTATTTTTTTATTATCCATTTAGTGTCCATAGGATTAATCATGTTGACCCCTTTTTCTTTCCTGATATTAGTTATTTGTGTCTTCTCTTTTTATTCTTGGTTAGCCTGGCCAAAGTTTTACCGATTTTCTCTGTTGATTTCCTACCTGTTTTATTGTTATTGATTTCTGCTCTAATTTTTATTATTTCTTTCTGCTTACTTTGGATTTAATTTGCTCTTTTCTTATAGTTTCCTAAGATGGAAGCTTAAATTATTGATTTGAGGTCTTTCTTTCTATAATATGCATTAAATGATATAAATTTCCCTCTATGCACTGTTTCATTGCATTCTGCCTAATTTGATTCTTTGTATTTCTTTCAAACTCATAATTCTCTTTTGTTCCCACCAAAAATGACATGCAACTTTGATTTTAGTTGTGAATACAAATTTGAGAAAGACAGTAGGGCTGATCAGTTGTGAAAACTTTTATTTCAATAAGTTCAATGAGACCTATAAATGGTTAGTCATGCCTATAGTTTGAGTTAAGAATGAAGCCTGTGATTCTTAAGTTTTACATAGGCCACCTCCAGATGTATGTGCTTTCAGTCAATTGGTTTTGAGTCTCAATCTCATGTTGCTTTTGTGGAAATAATACTTTTATTGTCTTTAGAGTTCACAGATTATCGTAATTCATGTACAAAGCTTCTAAAAAACCAAATAATTATTTTTAATAAACTAGTCATAAGTATAATGCATCAGAAAATAGTCTTTATCCTTATTGTAAATTTTTATAGCTTTCTTTTTAAAGATGTAGAAACGAATCTTCATGCAGTATGAAAGAAACACATATAATTGGGTCATTTTCTCCAATAATTCTACATAAAATACCATCCAAGTTTAAAATTTACTATGGAAAGAGAAATTTCAGTTCTGAGTATCCGAGACTAGTGCTGGTTAGTAGTGCTTTATTTTAGATTTGTAGTAAGTAAATGTCCTCTCTTTTCACCTTTATTCCAGAAAACCACATTCTCAGGCATAGCACATCTTGAACTATCTTGATTAGCTTCAGTTGTCAGACAACCAAATGTGTAAAACACGCATAGAAAAGCCAGTTTTTTCCCTTTAGGATAATCTTTTCCATTATGAATTTGTGTGACCTCTACCATATTTGAGCTTAAGATTTCTCATAGGCTGTTAAATGCACTTGCAAATGTCACTCACATGCTTCATTAAGTAGAAAAGTTTTTGGAATGTGATTACAATTGTGTAACTCTCTGTTGGAAAGTCCTATGCCCTGTGAGATATGCATGTTCAACAGTAAGAACAAGATGTAGAAAGTGGCTGGAGATGGGGGACTGGTTGAGAAAAGCATGTAGTCTAAAGCTGTAACATCCTGGCTATTTGCAACTTCTCCATGAAGGTAGAAAAAAGCAAAAGTATATGAAATTGTAAACTCATGGAACCCCTCCAGATAAGTTAAAAAAAAAACCCAAACCAAAAATCTCCAAACCCAAATGAACTTCCGGAGTGTACTCTCTCTCTCTCTCTCTCTTTCTCTCTCTTTCTGTCTCTCTCTCTGTCTGTCTTTTTTTGAGACAGGGTCTCACTTTGTTGCCCAGGCTGGAGTCCAGTCGTGTGAACATGGCTCACTGCAGCCTCGAACTCTCAGGCTCAAGCAGTCCTCTTGCCTTAGCCTCTCAAGAAGCTGGGACCACAGGTGCACACCACCACACCTGGCTGACCAGAGCTCTTCCGTACTCCATATTATGTCTAGTTTATGCTCCATCTACTATTTTGGCTCAAATTCTGCTAAATTGAATTTCATCTAGTTTGTTAACTTCCTTTCTAGGTCTTTTTCATGAATATTTTAAGTGTTTGTTTACTTTTAGCTTTTTTTTTTTAAGATGAGAAAGATACCACTTGTAATTCTTTAGGTAAATTGTGTCTGTGTTCATGCACACTAGACTCATATTGTGTGATTTCTCTAAGGACAACATTGCAAATTTTTGTTACTCTTCTTATCCAAATTAACTCTGTGGAGTCACAGGAAGTACATACTTTTTGAAAACTTTAAAAGGAGATAGAATTTTATCTCACTTCCATGTCCTAACTTTGTTCATGTAACTATTTCATCTGTGGCTATACTGATGCCACCTAACTTGAAAAGGAAATGAAAAGTAGGCATTCACAACATGATGATTTGCCAATCAAGCCTATTTTTAGTAGTCAGTAAAAATTCCTGACTGAATATCTAATTTAACAAAAAGCAAATGAGCTATGAAGATTGCTGAGAACAGGTAGTTTAAAATTATCAGTCATAATTGGCTTCTAGTGTCTCTCTTAATGTAACAATCCTATTCTGTCATTTTATAATAGTGGTTCTCAAACTTTAGTATACGTCATCTTCAACTAAGCAGTTTGTTAAAGCACAGATTGTTTGACTTCATTTCTAGAATTTATGATTTATGGAATAGTGTATGGGTTGGATAATTTGCATATCTAACCGGTTCCCAGGTGATGCTGGTCTGGGACCACAGTTTAAGATCTACTATTCTAAGCAGTAAGATCAGTCTCTTCCCGGACCTCCCTGCAACAGCTAATCGGAAACGATTTACGTTATTCTTTTTATACTTAACAATGTTGGTTGCTTCTTCTCTGAAAGGATTATTTTGAAGATTTATTATTCCCTCTCCTGAAGATTAGAAGTTAAGGAGAGGGCAGTTTTGTCACTTAGAGGTTAATCTTGAGAACACACAAAAAAATTGTACCACATACAGAAGCCATCTCTCTCATGTAGGGGACGCCTTCAATTTTGTTTCAAAGTTCTCTACATTTTGTATATCTTTATGCTTCTTTATTGTTGACAAATTAAAAATCCATATTCATACAAATAAAACTATTTAAAACTATAAATGAGTATCAGTACCAGATTCAGCCAGAGAAGCCATAATATTCCACATAGAATTTTGAAAATCCAAATGGCCATACTGCCCAAGGTAATTTATAGATTCAATGCCATCCCCATCAAGCTACCAATGACTTTCTTCACAGAAATGGAAAAAACTACTTTAAAGTTCATATGGAACCAAAAAAGAGCCCACATTGCCAAGTCAATCCTAAGCCAAAAGAACAAAGCTGGAGGCATCATGCTACCTGACTTCAAACTATCCTACAAGGCTACAGTAACCAAAACAGCATGGTACTGGTACCAAAACAGAGATATAGATCAATGGAACAGAACAGAGCCCTCAGAAATAATGCCGCATATCTACAACTATGTGATCTTTGACAAACCTGAGAAAAACAAGCAATGGGGAAAGGATTCCCTATTTAATAAATGGTGCTGGGAAAACTGGCTAGCCATATGTAGAAAGCTGAAACTGGATCCCTTCCTTACACCTTATACAAAAATTAATTCAAGATGGATTAAAGACGTAAATGTTAGACCTAAAACCATAAAAAACCTAGAAGAAAACCTAGGCAATACCATTCAGGACATAGGCATGGGCAAGGACTTCATGTCTAAAACAGCAAAAGCAATGGCAACAAAAGCCAAAATTGACAAATGGGATCTAATTAAACTAAAGAGCTTCTGCACAGCAAAAGAAACTACCATCAGAGTGAACAGGCAACCTACAGAATGGGAGAAAATTTTTGCAATCTGCATATCTGACAAAGGGCTAATATCCAGAATCTACAATGAACTCAAACAAATTTACAAGATAAAAACAAACAACCCCACCAAAAAGTGGGCAAAGGATATGAACAGACATTTCTCAAAAGAAGACATTTATGCAGCCAAAAGACACATGAAAAAATGCTCATCATCACTGGCCATCAGAGAAATGCAAACAAAACCACAATGAGATACCACCTCACACCAGTTAGAATGGCAATCATTAAAAAGTCGGGAAACAACAGGTGCTGGAGAGGATGTGGAGAAATAGGAACACTTTTACACTGTTGGTGGGACTGTAAACCAGTTCAACCATTGTGGAAGTCAGTGTGACGATTCCTCAGGGATATAGAACTAGAAATACCATTTGACCCAGCCATCCCATTACTGGGTATATACCCAAAGGATTATAAAACATGCTGCTATAAAGACACATGCACATGTATGTTTATTATGGGAGTATTCACAATAGCAAAGACTTGGAACCAACCCAAATGTCCAACAACGATAGACTGGATTAAGAAAATGTGGCACATATACACCATGGAATACTATGCAGCCATCAAAAATGATGAGTTCGTGTCCTTCGTAGGGACATGGATGAAACTGGAAACCATCATTCTCAGCAAACTATCACAAGGACAAAAAACCAAACACTGCATGTTCTCACTCATAGGTGGGAACTGAACAATGAGAACACATGGACACAGGAAGGGGAACGTCATACACCAGGGCGTGTTGTGGGGTGGGGGGAGGGGGGAGGGATAGCATTAGGAGATATACCTAATGTTAAATGAAGTCAATGAGTGCAGCACACCAACATGGCACATGTATACATATGTAACAAACCTGCACATTGTGCACATGTACCCTAAAACTTAAAGTATAATTTAAAAAAACATAAAAAAAGAATTTTGAAAATCCTATCAAATAACTAAATAGTCTCACTTTTATGTCTATATTTTTGACAGAATGTTAAAAGGGAATTCCACCTTTGGCTTTCTGAGGGTGCTTCTCCATTTTCTTAGACAGTGGTCTCAGTTGCTTCCTGTTATAAAATAACACTTCAGTAAATTTCTGTAGTGATTGCTCCTTCTACCTTTGCAGACTTCTGTTGTCTAGAGGACAGATATCAAACTCAGGGAAAATGATGGAGTTAAGTGTGTATGTTTAATCTCAAGTGATAAATGTACTGTTTGCTTACTGCTGTAGGCTATAGACATCTCTTTTTATATGAAGGCAGCCAAACACATACCCAATTTAGAACAATTTTATTAATCCACTCTGTAATAGTCTAATCTCTACAAACCTTATAAATTACAGCTTATATTGTCAGAGGAACTCGGAAATTCTTTAGGTGATAATATTTCTTTCCATGTGAAAAAGCTTGAAATAATTACAACATTAAAATTATTTTGGCTGGTCGCAGTGGCTCATGCCTGTTATCCCAGCACTTTGGGAAGCTGAGGTGGGTGGATCACCTGAGGTCAGGAATTTGAGACCAGCCTGGCCAATGTGGCAAAACCCTGTCTCTACTAAAAATACAAAAATTAGCTGGGCATGGTGGCACGTGCCTGTAATCTCAGCTACTTGGGAGGCTGAGACAGGAGAATTGCTTGAACTCAGGAGGCGGAGGTTGCAGTGAGCTGAGATTGCGCCACTGCCTCCAGCCTGGGTGACAGAGCAAGACTCCATTTCAAAAAAAAAAAAAAAAATTGAGGAGAAATAGTGTATATTTCATGTCATTTCAAAGCCTTATATTTTTAATAAGTTCAGGGTTTCTTTTAATAGGTTAGATAGATCTAAATAATTCAAAAATTGGATTCACTGCTTTTGTATTTTTACAGGGTTCCCTGTGGCATATTATAAAAATGGCTACAGATTTATTTCACCCCTGTATGTGCATTACTTTATATTGTGACTTTCCATTTTCCTTCCATAAAAGGGTGGAGGCTGTTTGTTGATTCTTTGGCTCAGAACATGGCATGCAAATTACTTTGGACAATGAGGAAAATATGTCACAGGGATAAGCTTTTAAAATGCCATGCAGTGGGGCTTGCTTTTTGCTGAATGTGGAACCTCAGATACATCATATGAATGAACATAGGCTATCCTGTTGGAAAATTGGAAGCAATGTAGAAGAGAACTGAAGCATCTTGGCTTCTCTTGAGCTAACCAGCTAGATATGTATGTTAGACCACCCTAGACCAAAGATCAGCAAACTATGTCCCGTGAGTTGAATACAGCCCATCAGCTGCTTGTGCAAATAAAGTTTCATTGAAACACAGCCATGTGTATTTATGTACGTATTGTCCATGGCTGCTTTTGCACTAAAGCAGCAGAGTTGAGTGGCTGCAAGGGAGACCCTATGGTCCATAAGGTCTCGTACAGGCAAGGTTTGCTGACGTCTGCTGTAGATCTTTTAGTCTCAGGTAAGCTGGCCCAAATCAGAAGAACCATCCAGCCAGCCCACAAAATCATAAAAAATAATACATGGTTGTTGCTTAAAGCTGCTAAGTTTTGGGGCGTTTTTTTTTAATGCAGCAGAAACTGATACTAACTGAAACTAACTGATAACTAACTCCATCCCTACCACCTCAACCCCAAGCTTTACTTTTATCTTTCTTAATAATGCCCATTCTCTGATGCTCTTAAGCTTGGAGGTTTGGCCCATAAGCTCAGTGAGTATAAGAGGTGAAATAATCTTGGAGATTATTTCTTGGCTCCAGTTTGCAGCCAAGAAAATAAAACCCAGGGAGAGTAACTTAAGGCTGCAGAGATAGTAGTCTTTGCCAACTGACTGGGAATAGGCATTTCACTTGTGCAATTCAAACCTTTCTTCCTTTCCAAGTTGATTGTAAAAATGCCTTGATTTGATTATCTGAGGAAGTGATTCAACATTCGTTTAGTTATTCTTAAGGCAACTTGATCTTCTTTTATATTATTTTTTTCTAACAGGGGCTTTGAAAATAGGGGGATGTAATGACTTGTGGTCACTGAGAATTCTGCTACAATGGTGTTTGAGAGGACTGATTTAGGGAAGTGACACTTCATCTTTAATCACATCCAAATGGGCAGCTTGGTCTAATGGCTATGTATAATTTTTTTTTTTGATTGCTTGTTTCCCAGTTTCCCTGAGTAACTCTGATAAACTTCAGATATATTATTTTATTAATTAGATAAATTCATTAACTGGTTTGCATTTACCTTTCTCAAAAACCTTTATTTGGATTGTATGGCAGACACTTGGGGTGCAAATTGTCACAACTCTTTTGTCCACTTGATTTCAGCACTAAAGTCGTGGACAGTTCCCTCCCCTTGTCTGCTTTCTGCACCAAGTACTCTGTAGGCATACACTGTTCTGCTTTCTTGAAACCTGGACAAGCCATTCAGCTGCAAGCAGGTGCAACCTTGAAGTTCAAAGAGAGGTCATACACTGGGGCAATCCTTCATCAACAGAGGATGTGCGTTGATGGAAACATGACCCAGAATCCCTCTACAGGGACATTTGGAGGCTTTTTCTCCACAGTTCCTTAGAGGGTTTCCCACAGGACTCAGCTAAATGGCCACCTGCTTCATTGCACACCTTGTTAACTTGTTAACATCTTTCTCACAGGAACGGACTCCAAGATCTTATTCAGTTATTGCATCTAACTCCATGCCCAGTGTCTTTGGATGATGTGTAATTTTTCTCCCTCAAGTATCAATCTGGTTCCCCATAGTTCACGTTTGTAGAGAAAATAGATCTTAATCTTCTTTTTCACATACACATTAATGGATTACAAACGCTAATCCATTACTATTGTCTACACATTCATAAAAGGGGAGAATGGGAAACACTTTATTTCCCTAGAAAGGAACAATGAAGACTTTTGCTAATTAAGGAATGAATCATGAAAGGCCAGAGGAAGGAGGGGTGGTTCTGGAGGAAGGAAGGAAGGATGAAAGAATGGCTAATGTGTAGACAGCCAGTGTAGACAACCAATGTAGACAACCAATGTTGTATATCTGCTGGTATACCACAAAAGTATTTTCTATTTTGTTCTATTGAGATTTAAAAAATCTGATTTGTATCAAATGACTTTTCAGCATCTATCAAGGTAATCCTGTGCTTTCTATTTTACTTATTAATACATGTATTGGTAGATATATTAATATAAAACTAGTAACAAGCTCTATTTGTTCATTATATATTATACTTTTAATACATTTCTGATTTGATTTGTATGGTATTTATTTAGTCTGTTTGATTGTATTACATGTCAGATTAATCTGACATTTTTTGTCTGTTTGCTTATCGCCTGCTAATCTTATTTTCAAGATTGTTTTAGCTGCATAATAAGAATTAGGGTGCTTCACATTTTGTCTATTCCTGGAATATTTTAAACAGTATGGGCATTGTCTAGTTTTTGTATCTTTAAAAGAACTCAGCAGCAGTACAGTTTCATTGCAGTGGTTTTTGTAGAGGTTATTTTTAATAACCCAGAAATTAAGCCCAGTACCCAGCAGTGATCTTTTCTGCTCTTCTCCCTCCTCCCACACCCTACCCTTAAGTAGACCCTAATGTCTGTTTCCATCTTTGTGTTCCTACGTTCTCATCATTTAGCTGCCATTAAGTGAGAACATATGGTATTTGGTTTTCTGCCATTTCGTTATTTCTAACGAGATTATATCATGGTATTCTTCAGCAACTTGCTTTTGATTATGTGGCCTTGGGTTGGCCAATTAAATCCTCCCCTCTTGGGTGTAGTATATGATTTTCCTCATTCCCTAAATGATTTCGTGATAGTCTGTTGTTGTTTAGTTTGGTTAAATGTTTTCCTTTTTTTAAAGTTATACTTTAAGTTCTGGGGTACATGTGCACAATGTGCAGGTTTGTTACATAGGTATACATATGCCATGGTGGTTTGCTGCACCCATCAACCCATCATCTACATTAGTTATTTCTCCTAATGCTATCCCTTGCCTACCCCCGACCCCCAACCGGCCCCCGTGTGTGATGTTCCCCTCCCTGTGTCCATGTGTTTTCATTGTTCAACTCCCACTTATGAGTGAGAACATGCAGTGTTTTGTTTTCTGTTTTTTGTGTTAGTTTGCTCAGAATAATGGTTTCCAGCTTCAGCGATGTCCCTGCAAAGGACATGAACTCATTCTTTTTCATGACTGCATAGTATTCCGTGGTGTATATGTGCCGCGTTTTCTTTATCCTGTCTATCATTGATGGACATTTCAGTTGGTTCCAAGTCTTTGCTATTGTGAATAGTGCCGCAGTAAACATACTTGTGCATGTGTCTTTATAGTAAAATGATTTATAATCCTTTGGGTGTATACCTAGTAATGCGATTGCTGGGTCAAATGGTGTTTCTAGTTCTAGATCCTTGAGGAATTGTCATACTGTCTTCTACAATGGTTGAACTTATTTACACTTCCACCCACAGAGTAAAAGCATTCCTAGTTCTCCACATCCTGTCCAGCATCTGTTTTTTTCTGACTTTTTAATGATCACCATTCTAACTGGCATGAGTTGGTATCTCTTTGTGGTTTTGATTTGCATTTCTCTAATGACCAGTTATGATGAGCTTTTTTTCATATGTTTGTTGGCTGCATAAATGTCTTCTTTTGAGAAGTGTCTGTTCATATCCTTTGCCCACTTTTCGACAGGGTTGTATTTTTCTTGTAAATTTGTTTAAGTTCTAAGAGCCAAAATTAACAAATGGGATCTAATTAAACTAAAGAGCTTCTGCGCAGCAAAAGAAACTATCATCAGAGTGAACAGTCAACCTATAGAATGAGAGAAAATTTTTGCAACCTATCCATCTGACAAAGGGTTAATATCCAGAATATTTTCATTTTAAAGGACAAATAAAGATTTCTTTCTATGACAAGTAGGATGTCAATGGAAACTTCGTGTTTGTGCTGGTACTAATTTCTAATATTTCTGTGGAATGGTCTCCCAGAAGCAGACTGGCTGGCTTAAAGTTCATTCACATATAAAGTTTTATATTTCTTCCTAGCTAAATTGCCAATTTATATTATTTGTCCATTTTTTCTGTTGAGATACTTGTCTTTTTTTTATAACTTTATAGGAACTTTTGATGTAATATAGATATTATTTGCTTCATAGAGCACATATAGCTTCAGTGTTTTTGTAGATTTTAATCTTTGCTTATGGTATTTGTGTTAAACTGAATTTTAATTTTGGTGACCTTAGTGTTTATGGTTCTCATCTTGCTTACAAAGTTCTTCACCTAAATCTTATAAATTATTACTGTATTTGTTGGAATATTTGTTTTGTATTCACTATGTTTAGTTTTAATGAGTACAGCTTATTTTTTCTCAAATAGCCAGTTGTCTGATAGCATTTACTGAATGGCTCTCTATTTCTTTATTGATAAGAATTTATATATCACATTCTCAATGAATATGAAAGTATAAGCGTGTGTTCATTTTTATGCTTATTTCTGAATTAACAGCAAGCCATTTTAATTACTAAGTCTTTATTGTAAGTTTTGAGATTACTTGCTTTTTTTGTTTCAAAAATGTATAGGTTTGCCTTGAGTACTTACTTTCCCTTATGAACTTTAAAATCAGTATGCTATTCCCCAGTCAAAAAATAAATATGTATTAGAAATTGGATTGAGATTGTATTTACTATAAAGATTTGGAGGATTTGTTCTAGCCATTTTCAGATTGTTATTACAGCATAAATAGCCAGTCTCCTTGAAATGCATTAAAATATTGGTTAAAAGAAAATAACACTCTACATAAAACTAGAGTGTTATTAAAGTTTCCCTATGAATGTATGCAAACTGCAAAAGCAAAATAACCATTTAAAAAATAAATATACGGTATCTTTTTACCTTCTGCAAGATTAATTTTGATCTTGAATATTATAGAACTGATGAGGAGAATGATAATTTTAAGCTTGGCTTCATTTTGATTCCATAGTTTGGAGTTTCTACATCTGAAGACTACTGTCACAGATATATTTCTGTAAAACTGAGAATGTAAATGAAAACTCAAAATTCCATTTCTGTGGATGCATGTCAGTATTGCTTTTTTTCTGTACTAATTAAAAATGTCAGTATATAAGGTTAGTTACATATTATGTATCAAATTATTTTGTTGACAGTATAGACTTCTTAAGTACATATTACAATGTAATAAAGTGGATTGGCTATAATTTTTTGCCATGTACTCTATGCATAGTTTAAAGGAAGTTATCTCTTACTTCCTAAGGTTAACTGCTATTAATATTGAATATTTTCAGATAGCTTTCTTTTAATTTACATGTGTATGCATAATATGTCTGTATTTCTCAAACACAGTGGTATCTGAATATATATATGGTGTGCCACCTCAATTATTTTACTTATATTTTGGGAGAATGTTTTATGTTAGAACACATAGGTATTCCATTTTCTTTTTAACATCTAAATATAATTCCACATAGTAGATTATCATAATATATACAATTTTTTAAATTGAGTCACTTAAGTTATCTTAATTTTTATTATTATAAGCAATGCTTTCATAAATGCTTTTGTGCACATATTGAAGTATTTCTGAGGGATAAATTTATAGCAGCGACATACCTGGATCTATGTTTGTGCACATTTTAATGTTCTCCAAAATGGTTGTGATATTTTACATTCTTGCCAGTAGTATAAAGACATGACAACAGTAAATTTTATCAGTTATTAAAATTTATGCTAGGCTGATGATAAATTTGAATTCCTATGTTTCCTAATGATTTTATCATTTCAAATGTTTATTTGAAATTTGTATTTCTTCTGTTAATTTCTTATTCATATATCCCAGGGACATTTATATTTATTTAAAAATAATTTATAGGTATTCTCTATACAGTATAGTTAAGAGATTTTTGTGATTCAAAATTTGGCTTTTTAAAAGTCAAATTATAAATTTTTATGGTATTGGGATTTAGTTTTGTTTAAGGCCTTTCCTATCAAAATATAATTTCCTAGATTTTCTTCTAAAAGTTTATATTTTTATTGTTTACATTCAGATGTTTATTTATTATTATTTTTTTGAGTCAGGTTGTCACTGTCATTCAAGCTGCAATACAGTGGCTGCAAGATCATGGCTCACTGCAGCCTCAAACTCCTGGGGCTCATGTAATCCTCCCACCTCAGCCTCCTGAGTAGTTAGGATTACAAGTACACGCTATCATGACTTACTAATTAGATTTTTTTTTTTTATTGTAGAGATAGGTTCTCACTGTGTTGCCCTGGTTGTTTCTGAACTCATGGGCTCAAGCAATCTTCCTGTCTCGGCCTCTCAAAGTACTGGGATTACAGTTGTGAGCCACCACTGCCAGCACATTTAGATCCTTAGTATGGCAGGAATTTATTTTTCTAGATGAGTGATATAGAGATCTGTCTTTAGTTTTTTAAGTATATAGCTGACTATTTTAATGCAACCCTCCCTAATTATCTGAAATGTCACTTGCTTATATATGAATTCCTTGTATGTGCATAGGTCTGTTTTGCACTGTTTAGGGTGATTTATCTACTTCACTGTTCCTTGGGGTTCCAAAACTTTCTGTTATGTTTTGGTATTTGAGTAGTCAAGTGAATAATTCTTTATTCTTTTTTATTTCTTTAAGATTTTATTGCCTATTTTGTCCATTTACTTTTTCAATTGAATGTAGAATAACTTCGGAAAGTTCTATAAAATGAAAGTTTGCATTTGATTAAAATTACATTGGTTTGATAGATTTATTTAAGAAAAATAAATAGGCTTATGGTACTTTTCCCTTCAATCCAAAACATGGTGTTCTGGTGTTCCTCTCTCTGTGTTCTGGTCTCATCTTATGCCCATGAATAAGGTTTAAATATAATAACTTTGTTTATATATCTCTTGAATATTCTCATGTTAATTCTTAAGTATTTGCTAGTTTTTGTTACTATTATAAACTGAATCTTTCTTAAACTAAAAAGAGTGCTTCAGCCAAAAATTGTTGTGCACTTGCTGAAATACTCAACTGCTATTATGTCTAGTTTGCCATTCTCCAAATACATTTTAAGGTGGAAGTGGTTTTGAAAATTGTTTAAAAATCAAGGATCTAGTATTTCATTTTTCTGTCATCAAAAAATCTTGTCTGTTTGATACTTGTTTGAAACTCTCAATATATGCCATTTTCATTCCCTTTTTATTCTATCTTATTATTCTATATTCCATGTTTTGTCTGTTATTGGCACTCATCAGAAGTCATGAACTTTCCATGCATCTATCAATTTTTCTCTATCCTTTGGGGGAAAGAAATTTATCATACAGAGTACAGTAATTTTATTGTACTTAGGAACATCTTACTTCTTTGAATGTCTTATTAGAGCTCCAGAGTGAGAACTGTAAGAAAAATATGACTTGAATAACCATAATTTTTCCAACCTTTTTTAGTGCCTCCTCTCAAATGTGTCACTACCAATGCAGTGTTTGTGGCATAATAGTTGTAAACAGTTGTTTATTTATAAAAACATTTTAATCCAAATTTTTTTGGCATCTTATATATCATCAATATACTTTCTATGCTGTGGTATTTCTAAAATCTTGGACATAGTTATTCTGGGCATAGTTATTTCTTGGATATGGCCTAGAAAGTAGCATTTGGATATTTCAAATCTGTTGACTAAATGGCACAAGTTAAATTGAAGCCAAGAGTTCTACTAAATTTAACCTTAATTTTACCTAAATTTAGTATTACATCGGCTGTTATTGGCACTTAGGTTTCTTATGCCTTATAGTCTTAGCCACTAGTATATAAACACCAAAACACAATTCTTGAAGATATAAAAATGAGAACTCATGTTTTCAAGCACTTAATCAATTCGAGGTACATTTAATTCCTAATGTCCACACTATTCTGACTTTTTTTTTTTTTTTTTTGAGAGAGAGAGTCTTTGTCACCCAGGCTGGAGTGCAGTGGCGTGATTTCGGCTCACTGCAACCTCCAGCTCCTGAGTTCAAGCGATTCTCTTGCCTCAGGCCTCCTAAGTAGCTGAGATTGCAGGTGCACACCACCATGCGCAGCTAATTTTTGTATTTTTAGTAGCGATGGGGTTTTGCCATGTTTCCCAGGCTGCTCTCCAACTCCTGACCTGAAGTGATCCACCCGCCTCAGCCTCCCAAAGTGTTGAGATTATGGGTGTGAGCCACTGCACCTGGCCTATTTTCTGACATTCTAAGTGCAGTACAATGTAGAGTCTTTAAAAGTGTGGATAATGCATTTCCATTTTTAGTTGTTAAGGAACACCCATAGTGAAAGGGTAGTTTCCCTCAATTATGAAACATTAGGTTGTGATGTTATATGCAGAAATTTTATTTAATGATAAACATAACAGCTTGGGATTTGACATGGTGACAATGGCTAGAAAAGTGCAGCTTAAGTGCTTTTCAAGCTGTGCTCGCTTCATTCATGCAGAATTGCTGTCTTTGCTGACTTCTGGTTTCTTGCTTAGGCGCTGACAAGAGAAAGTATCTGTCTGTAGTTTCTAATGCTAGTGTTAGTCTAATCATAAAGCCAGCACACCTTTGTCTCATATAACACAAAGTTATTAATCAGCTCCCCAGTGTCTCTTGTAGAAAGAATAAGAGGAAGTATTTTAAAAATACATATTCTATAAATATATTCTTATTGCCCATTCTTAGAGTTTTCATTTGTTGAGCATCAGTGTACCAGGTAATTTACAGACTTCTACAATCTTCATAATTATGGTGTAGGATAAATTTTTTTCCCTAGTTTACAGAAATGACTATTTTTTGTAGTTGTATGTGAAAATTATAGAACAGTTTTGGGGATCTGCACAATGTTATGTTCTCACACAGAGAATTTGCCTTTGTTTCTTGTATGCAGGTAATTTGAAGAAGAACAATTCAATCTCTTTGGGAATTAAGTTGATTTGCAGCTCTATTTAAGTTTCTAGAAGAGCTGTTCTATATCTAGTTGCCCTTTCTCCAATAGCATAGCCCTTCATGAGTCCCAGCTGAAAGCTAGGAGTGTTTACTAAGCTCCTTCCCTCTCCAATTTTTGTTTTCTCAGTCTCATGAACCACTGAACTCCCTGCTGAACTCTGCTCACCTTTTCAGCCTTTGAGTTGCTGCTTCCTGTGTGGCTTTTTAGTCTGTCAGCCAGCACTTTAAAAAAAAATCTATGTGTATAAATAAAACTACCATGTGACCCAGCAATCCCACTACTGGATATTTGTCCAGAGCAAAGGAAATCAGTATATCAGAGATATTTGCACCCCTGTGTTTACTGCAGCACTATTCACAATAGTCAAGATTTGAAATCAACCCAGGTATACAATATCAGATTAATGGGTAAAGAAAATATAACATATATACACAGTGGAATACCATTCAGCTATAAAAAGAATGGAATCCTGTCATTCCTGTCATCCCTGCTAACATGGATGGAATTGGAGGACATTACGTTGAGTGACATAAGCCAATCATGGAAAGATAAATACAGCATGTTCTCACTCATATGTGAAAGCTAAGAAAGTTGATCTCATGGAAGTAAAAAGTAGCACAGCGATATTAGAGGCTGGGAAGTGAGAGGGGAGAGGGGACATAGGGAGAGATTTGTTAAAGGAGACAAAATTACAGCTAGTTAGGAGGAATAAGTTCTAGTGTTCCATAACACTGAAGGATGGCTGTAGTTAATAATATATATTTTTTCAAATAGCTAGAAGAGGCTATTGGATGTTCCCAAAGCAAAGAAATAGTAAATATTTGAATGATGGTTATGCCAGTTACCCTGATTTGATCGCTATACATTTTATGTATCAAAAATACACTATGTATGCCATAAATGTGTACCATTATTATGTGTCAATTAAAAAATAGAATTTTTTAAAAAAGTCAATGACTTGAGGAAAAATATGATGAATTTGGGAGTTACTGTTCTGTACTTCCCTTCTCTCAGGGATGTCAGCTGTCAAGTCCTTGAAACTTTGGTTGCACATTGCCTTCAGGTTTTAAATTAATTAGTTAATATTTTTTATATCCAGGATTTCTAGTTGTTTTCAGCAACAGCTAGCCGATTGCAGGTAGTCCTCTATAACTGTAAGTGGAAGTCTTTCCTGGAATCCTTCTTCTGGAAGCTTATTGATTTTGTTCTGGAAACAAATTCCAGTATTATTTTGAATCACATTGATTTGGTTATTGTCCGTATTTTACCAATAACAATTCACAGTCCATGAAAGCTGGAAGCATGTAGTGCTTCTACAGTATTTCTCTTACATGGTAAGCTTTGTCCATCTGACAGGCAGTTGACAGGTACCCACTTCCAAGGCTGCTGCTGCTAATGTATAACTAGCACAATGACACACAGTAAAATGTTATAAGAATTCAGGAGCATTTCCCAACCCATCTTCTGGTTATAATTTAGAATATACTAGATCTTTAAAAACTTTAAAAAAAATTTTTTTTTTGGGGAGACGGAGTTTTGCCATGTTGTCCAGATGCAGTATTTTGAGCCTATTGTGTCTATAATGTAAAGACAATTAGAAAATTTGACAAATTATCCCATATTAGATAATCCCTTGTCATGAATTGCATTACCCTGACTGACATTTTTCTCAGTAGGTGAACCATGAGGCACTAGATGAAACAGTGATGATTAAAAAGGGTATGTATTAGAATCACTTGGAGGGTTTGGACTATAGATCACGCTTCAGGTCCCATCCGGGGAGATTCTGATTGAATTGATCTGGGGTGAGATACAAACGTCTTCCACTTCATATTCCTGATCCTCTGATTCCTACTTAGCCAAAGTGTCCTCTTCTCTGTAATATTTTCTTTTACTTCCCTGGACTCTATTTTTTCTCTTCTCTGAATTTCCAAGTTTACAATACTCCCAGGGCTCTTATGTGTGTACTCATTTCTTATTAAATCATCTTTTTTTCTTAATTCAACTTTTAATGTTTTTACATTTTTCATTCATTTATATTCAGTCATATATCCCAACTGATGTTTAGTATATTTTATATTGTTATCATTATAGTTTTTCTTGTGTCATTCATAATCAAATCGTATGGTCTTACCTCACCACCTAAACTGTCAACCCTTTGATTAGGGACTGTATCTCATATTTATTTTGTAAAACGGTAGACACGGCCCTGTCCCTGGTGAAGAAAACATTCTTAAAGATTAAAAACAAGCAAAACAAACAATATCATCCAGGGAAAAGCACTACCTTTATGTAAGAAAATACTTTGATAAGCCACTTATAATTGAATGTAAGTATTTCATGGTGGGCCACTAAGGCTGAAGACTACACCTCAGATAGTCAATGCAATTGCTAAATGTCTTTATTTTTATTTTTAGAGATAGGGTCTCATTCTGTCATCCAGGCTGGAGTGCAGGGTCACAGTCTTGGCTCACTGCAGCCTTGACCTCCTGGGCTCAATTGATCTGACCACCTCAGCCTCCCTAGTAGCTGAGACCACAGGTGCATGCCACCACATCTGGTTAATTTTTGTATTTCTCTTTGTTTAGAGCGACGGGTTTTCATCATGTTGCTTAGGCTGACCTCAAACTCCTGGGCTTAAGCGATCTGCCTGCCTCAGCCTTGCAAAGTGCTAGGGTTACAGGTGTTAGCCACTGCACCCAGCCTTTACTTCAGAATGGAGAGAAATGCAGGGGTGATGGAAAAGCAAAAAACTAGATAAGACAGAAGGAAACTGAGAGAGAAAACAAGACAATGGGGTGTGGCTGAGCAACCAGCTTAGTCAGGTGCCTGGAGAAATTTTAATAAAAGGGAATCCTTATTCAATCTTAAGTTATCTTGCTACACTTAAAAAGTAATAAACTCTCTGTTTCACCTAAGAAATCAGTAAAGAAGTTTGCTATACGTTACCCTATAAAACGTACCATTTAGTTTAGTTTTTTTTCTTTATTTCCTTATGAATGAAACATGGGCAAGTGAATGCAGTAGATAGGATGCTGCTTGAACTGAGCTAATTTGGTGAAAGCCACACCTTGGAGTCAGAACTGACCACTTGTCAGCCCCTGTGTAGACATCTCAAATATGCAATATAATACAGATAATTCAAGCCAATTTCATTTAAATGTTAAATTATTTAAGCTTTAAGACTTTAAGAATTAAGATCTTAAACTACTGCATGGGCTATAGAAATAACTGCTTTTTCTTAGCTGGTGTAAGGAACATGTGTATATATTTACGGCAAACTGCCTGGGATTAAATCCTGGATACACCATATTACCTTGGGAAAGTTACCCAGTTTAATTCTGCCTCAGATTTCTTAACAATGGAAGTAATAATAGTCCCAACCTCAGAGGGTGGCAATGAAGATAAAAATGAGTTAAGACACTTAAATCCTTTAGCCAAGTCCCTGAATGGCACATGCAGGAATGCAAACAGTGTTAACAACCATTATCATTTTACTGCTGTGGTGTAGTTCTCAACCCTGCTTTGCATCAGAGTCACCTGCGGTATCTGAAAAAATGTACATCCTCAGGTTCTAGCCCACACCGATTAAGCAACATTTCTGGCATTGGAAATTGGGCATGCATAGAAAAAAACCACAGGGATCCTGAGAGACAGTCAACTCTGCAGAGCACTTCTGGGATATGTTTGCAGGTAGCAAAATGTGAAGATAAGTGTGAATGGTGAGATCCTATAGAAATTAGATCACTAGAGACACATAACTCAAGCTACCAATCCCCAAACTCATTAATATCAAAGTGAGTACTGTCCAAAAGTCTTTGGCTGTCAAATGGAGATGTGAGAAACCAGCTGTTGAACACCTTTCTGGGTCTAGCTGGAACCCAACCTTGAGGAAAGAATGTTTGTCATTCCAGCTGATTCTTATTGAAAGAAAATAACATTTTTCTCTCTGCTTTGAGAATGAATTCAAGGATCCGGAGAACATAATTGGCGTCTATGATGATGAATGTTTACATGACAATTCTGAGCTGTCTTTTCTTCAGTGTGAACCTAACTGTTATTGCTTTATAGGATTTTGCATTTTAGAAGAATAGAATGACAGTAGCAATTATGTCATGACCTCAGGAGGAGGTAGACTTTTCCAGATAGTTGTGATTTTTCTGGAATCCCTCTTGCCTGACATTGACTGTTACACAGCCACTATTTGTGTTGCTCAGTCTGACACCTGACCACAGGTACATGCTTGTAAGTTCTTGCTCAGATTCTTCAATAATTCTTTATGATTGTGTTTCCAGGATAATAAAGATGAACCCTGTGGTTGGCATTCAAGATTCTCTAGTGTGAGTCTCAGTTACTTTACTCTTACTTTAGCCAGTTGAGCCTGTTTCTGTATACCAAACATTTGGGAGATAGAGATGATGTGATTGTTACACTTAGACTAGCAGACTCAGCTCTTCTCTCCTGACTTTCCCTCTGTAGCCTAATGATAGGCCAGCGATAGTAATAAGAAGGCAAAAACTTGTCTTAGTAATATGGATTTTAGGCACAACCATATACAGTATCTATCAAATTATCATTTGGAGGAGGGCAGACGGCTATAATGGTTAAAACCATGTACTTTGGAGATAGATTTTGCTTCAGGATGTTCCTTAACCTCTTCATGCTTCTATCTGTAAAATGGGGATAAATCGTAGTAAGTAATTCATAGATACAGGAGAAGGAATTGAGTTTTATTTTTCTTTCTATTTTGTTTTATTTAGTTCTAGTTTATTTTAATTTTATTTTGTTTTACCTATGGAACAGTGCCTGTCACATAGTAAGTCTTATATTGGTGTTTGTTAGAGGGAAAGAAAAAGTTACAGCGGTGGAAGTTCTTAGCACAATGGAGTCTTCCAAGCATGGCTTCCTCTACTGATTCTTGCCTAGTATTAAGATGTTAGACTCTGATCTTAATGTTTGACTTATTCTTTACCATATTGATTACATACTTATTCTTTACCATATTGATTACATCCTGGGTTTGTCAAAAGTGAAAGGAATAATTCTTACCCTTGTTATTTTAACCAGTATTTTTTTTTACTTTTATCTAAAAGGGCATTTTTTACAACTATTATAATTTTTCTAGAGTATAACCAAGTCCTACTTGAGTATTCCCTCTTTGCTACTTTCTGGAGGAATTTTGGGTTTCATATCTGGTTTCTAAAGTACAGCAAAGAAAGGAAAACTAGAGTCTTATGCTCTGCTGGTGTGTCCTTAATCTTTCGATCTCTCCTCAATTCCTGTGTTTGGGTCATTTTATAGTTTCTGCAGAACTAGAACTTTGCTGCTTAAAATCATCCCTGGACTCTTAGTCATTGGCCAGCCCAAGCATGCTGTTGGTTCTTGATATGATTTGGTTGTGTCTCCACTCAAATCTCATCTTGAATTCCCACATGTTGTGAGAGGGACCCAGTGGGAGGTAATTGAGTCACGCGGGCAGGTCTTTCCTGTGCTGTTCTCATGATAGTGAGTAAGTCTCACAAGATCTGATGGTTCTATAAGGGGGAGTTTCCCTGAACAAGCTCTCTCTCTTTGCCTGCTGCCATCCATGTAAGATGTGACTTGCTTGCTCCTCCTTGCCTTCCACCATAATTGTGAGGCCTCCTCAGCCACATGAAACTATAAGTCTATTAAACCTCTTTCTTTTGTAAATGGCCAAGTCTTGGGTATGTCTTTATCAGCAGCATGAAATGGACTAATACAGTTCTCCACTCATATTTTCCACTCTTATTTCCTTACTACATTAGTGCCTGCCATCAGACTTCCAGACACTGTGGCCTGCTGGAGGACTTCCAGAGGACTTTCTCTGCTGCTAAAGAATGCACCTCTGCCTGTGCCCATGACTGGCCCAAAGTGCAGGAGAATTGACATTGCCCAACCAACGACTGATAAATATACCATGTTCCTTCCTTCTCAGGTTAAATCTAGGGCTTTTCCAGTGGGATTGAGCTCTAGAAACTGTCTCTATTGAATGCCTCATCATCCTTCACTGACTTCTCCACTCCCTAACTGTTGTTCTTTCCCTCCGCAAATAAAAGACTTGGACTCCAATACTTATATCAGCTTCTGCTTCTGGGGGAACCCATGCTCAGGCCTACATGTTCTTCCAATGTGTAGCATAAAGGTTGGAGTGATAAAGTCCAATTTGATCTGTTTTGCAGGTGCAGCAGGTACTGGGGACTGGTTGCCACCATTACAGCATTAGTTGGTGCTATAGACTGAATGTAAGTGTCCCCTGAAATTCGTATGTTGAAACCCTAATCCCCAATGTGATGGTATTTGGAATTGGGGCATTGGAAAGTAATTAGGTCATGAGGGTTGAGCCCTCATGGAGGGATTAGTGCCCTTGGAAGAAGAGGAAATGACAAGAACCTCCTTTCACCCCCCAGTCTCTGTGCATGCACCAAGCAAAGGCCATGTGAGGACATACCAGGAAAAGGCCCTCACCAGACACCAAATCTGCCAGCACTCCAGTCTTGAACTTCCCAGCTTCTAGAACGATGAGAAATAAACTTCTATTGTTTAAGCCACCCAATGTAGAGTATCTTGTTATAGTGGTCTGGAATGACTAAATCAGTTGGTGACGGAAGTGATATGGGAGATAACATCAAGTAAAGAGTTTATATACCATGTAAAGAGCAAAAGTGCTTAAGGGGCCAGGTGCGGTGGCTCACGCCTGTAATCCCAGCACTTTAGGAGGCCGAGGCAGATGAATCACCTGAGGTCAGGAGTTCAAGACCAGCCTGGCCAAAATGATGAAACCTCATCTCTACTAAAAATACAAAAATTGAGCTAGAAGTGGTGGTGTGTGCCTGAAATCCCAGCTATTTGGGAAGGTGAGACAGGAGAATCTCCTGAACCCAGGAGGCAGAGGTTGCAATGAGATTGCTGAGATTGCGCCACTGTACTCCAGCCTGGGTGACAGAGAGAGACTCTGTGTCAAAAGAGAAAAGAAAAGTGCCTAAGGGATAAATACATCCTTGCTTTTTTATTTTGAGTCCTCTTCCTAGTTTTACTCTGGATCAAGTATCAGGGCTGCTTCAGAGATTACATGGAACAATTACTAGAAATAGATGCTGAATAGATGTGCCATTCCAGGTCTTTAAAAATGACATATACCAGCCCTATGTATATGAGGACTAAGCAACTGAAAAATTCCTTGCAGACTACTATATACGTGTCTTAAATCCCCTCCTCTCTTGCCCCATCAACCCTTCAATGAGTCTCTATTTCCCACTCTTTGTGGATATTCAGAGACTATATTTGGACCCCTTCCCATAGATACAAACCCATTTTCTCTATTACTACCTCCTATATATCCTTGACTTCAGTGAATTTGTTATGTTCATTTTTCCCCCAAATACAGGATGTTCATTTTTGGATATGGCTGTTTTCTCCAGTTTTTTCCCACCTGGATTTCCTTCTCATTCTTCTCTGTTGAACAAAATTCTATTCTCCGCTCAGGCTGCATCCACTGGGATAAGTTTTAATTAGAAATAGCAGAAAACTCAACTGATAGTGGTAAAATGAATACGAGGTTTATTTATATCATACAACAAGAAATTTGGAAGTAGGATATCTTAGGCTGGTTGATTAGTATAATGGCTTCATACCTCAGTTCCTTTTGTGCTTAAACTGTGTCTTTTATGGCCATGGTTCCAAAAGGCTGTTGTACCTCTAGGCATTGTATCCATATTCCAGGTAGAAGAAAGGGAAGGAATAAATGGCAAAAGCTAAATGCCAAAATGTATACCTTTTTTCATTTTAGAAAGCCTGTCTAATGACTTCTGCTTATGTTTCACTGGCTGGAAGTGAGTTGCATGGCTAAACTCAGCTGTGGGGGATGCTGGAAGGATTTCTTAACACTCTAGGCTCCATTTCAGAGAAAATTCAGGGAAAACAAAATTGTGAAAGATTTTTGCGTAGCTGATTCACAGCATCCAAACATTCAGCTTTTAAAATTCCATGAACTCCAGCAACATTTATTGATGGCAGCCATTTTGTTTTTTAAATTTAAGCCATGATGTTACAGATGAAAAAATATTATAGATATATGTTTTAGCTTTTTGACTGGATTTGAAACAAATGTGAATTTCATCTTGTCATATGACTAGCAACTACTACTTACAAGTTTCTTGAAAATAAACATATGCCATTGAGGATGAATTAAGCAAATGAAGAGTAACTGCTGCAAACCGGACTGGCCAGATCCATGATCATGGTTTCACTGGCTCTTCCTCCTTCTTGCTGATACTAGGTAAGCCCCAGATTTCATGGATGTGGTCAAATCCATGTGCTAAGAGGTCAAAGCCAAGTGCTAAGAGCTGAAGAGGAGATGTGAATAAAAAGCCCATAGGAAGATGAGTATAGGATGTTTTTCGAAATCCTACTGTATGTCAGTTGTGGGTAAAGAAACAGTATTGATGTAATTCTCATTAGGCAGTGAAGGAAATCTATTGGCGGGCATTCAAAGAAGTCAAACAACTTGCGTTAGATAATATAGTGGTAGAAAATGAAGCTGGGATTGTCTGACAGGTATACATTCAAAGTTAACTTCTTTCTACTGTTTCAGGATAAAAAACTAAGGGAAATTATGTGGGTCAAAGGTTAGCCAACAGCCAGAATTATTTTTCTCAAATCACTTTTGGAAGGACATTAATTCAGAGTTCATCAAGGTTAATCACTTCTGACTATAAAGTAAATATCTAGGCAATTTCTAGCAATGACAACATATTGGGGTCTTAAAACGATTTTGTTTTACGGTGGAGCTAAATCTTTTCAGAATCAATTTGAGCAAGTGAAACGAAAGGCCGAAAAAATACAGCTTTGTAAATAATGGAAGTCTTGACATTCTTTAATACTACAGAGCAAATAGCTCCACACTCTAATTACTGTTGTATTGTGTTTGAGTATCTTTGGTGATGGTAATTAAAGAGTGATTCTTGCATATTTTTCTTAAAATATCCATGCATCCCTTTCATGCTGCTAAATTCTTCCAAAGACACATGCCAGTAACTGGGAAGAAACACAGACCACACTACATTTCTTTTCAGGCTTTTTATCTCAGTTATTTGTATTAACAGACTGCAAAAAATGGATATTATTTATGCTGGAAGAGAGAATGGAAGGGTATCCTAAATATCAGTATTAGAGCTTTTTGCTCTTTTAGGTTCTTAGGTGAAGGTGATGAAGTATTTTATTTTAGGGGCTTTTAATCTTTTGCTTGTGGGTTTTTTCTTTGTCTAGTATTACAGTCTTGAACAATTATGAAGAAGATATTACACTACTTTTCCTGGTCAAATTACAATAAACCTAATAGAATGGAAATTTTACTGTTTAAGGATTAGTGTAGTTGTTTCCAGCTTTTTCAGCTGTGCGGAATTCTTTTTAAAGTAACAAATAAATTAATAGAAACATTCACATTTTATTACTTAATAGTATTTTTCATGGTGGTTGACATAACAAAAATGCTATGAAAATAATACTTTCACATAACTTGTAATTTGTTAATCAGTAAAATCTGCATAAATTTGAAATGTAATAACAAGTATATGTGTAAGACACATTATTTATTCCACTACATTCAATGCTTAGTGCTTTGTGAATCTATGGATTATTATGCTACCTTTTAGGATTCAATGGAAATGATCTAGAAGATAACTTTGTAGAGAATTGGAAGAGAAGCTGAGCAAAACAGTTCAGGGCAGGAGATATGTCCAGAGGGGCTGCTAATTGTCCTGTGGTTTAAAGAAATTTCTAAAACTCCAAATAAGAGACATTCAGCCATAACATCCTAAATTTTTCTTAAGAAATGTTTACATTCAGTATTGTAAACTAAGTGCGAGACATTCATGGTAGACTGTGGTTCTTCTGAAGGTAAACTTGTCATTTGAGCTTCCTACAGTAGTTGGTATTATTTTAAATAATATATAATTTAAGACATTAAATAATAGACATTCTGCTCAGAAATATTTAGCCTATTCTTGGATTAAGTGCTAATTTTAGGGAGATTCACATTCAGAACATTTTGGTATTCATATAGAAACTACTAAAAGTCTAAAACTAAGTGAGTTCATTGTTAATGAGAGATCATATTCTATAGTGGTGAGCATAGGTTTTGGTTTGAGGCTCAGATGTTCATGCATAGTCTAGCTTAGTGATTTATTAGATTTTTTCTTCTTTTTTTTTTTAGATTGAGTCTCACTGTGTTGCCCAGGCTGGAGTACAGTGGCATGATCTCAGCTCACTGCAGCCTCTGCCTCCTGGGTTCAAGTGATTCTCCTGCCTCAGACTTCCAAGTAGCTGGGACTATAGGCATGTGCCACCACACCCAGTTAATTTTTGTATTTTTAGTTGAGACGGGTTTCTGCATGTTGGCCAGGCTGGTCTTGAACTCTTGACCTGCATGGCTTCCCAAAGCGCTGGGATTATTACAGGTGTGAGCCACTGTGCCTGGCCAGCTATTTGTTTTTGATCCTTTGTTAAAAAAAATCTTGGATTTCTCAAGAGAAACTATTATTAGGATTTTTATAGAGATTAAATATATTATGATTAATCTATTATAGGTTTGGCCCATTTTAGTGCTTATTAAGTTATAGCTATGGTTGTTATTCAATTTCATCTGTTCTAGATACAACAATAATTTCTGAAACAGAAGCTATGATTTCAGAGTTGCATAGGTAAATACTAGAAACACAAAGGCTGATATTTTTCAATATGGATATATTTTGCTAATATTTTCAATAAAACCTTTTGGAGAAGTCTTTTAGAATATGAATCCTATATAAGTGGATTGGCTATGCACTTAAAAAGTCAGTTTGAGGGAAACAGTTAATGTCAAAAGCCATGTACGTGGGATGCCTAAAGTGGTCAGTGTTCAGAGGGAGGAACTGCAAAGACGCACTGATATTTCAAGTATTCTACATCAGTGGTGCCCAACCTTTTTGGCACCAGGGACCGGTTTTGTGGAAGACAGTTTTTCCATGGACCAGAGAAGAGAGGGAAGGTTTTGGGGTAATTCAAGCACATTACATTTATTGTGCAGTTTATTTCTATTATTGTTACATTGTAATATATAATAAAATAATAATGCAACTCACCATAATGTAGAACCAATGGGAGGCCCGAGCTTGTTTTCCTGCAACTGGATGGTTCCATCTGGGGATGATGGGAGACAGTGACAGATCATTAGGCATTAGACTCTCATAAGGAGCACACAACCTAGATCCCTCACATGTGCAGTTCACAATAGGGTTCATGCTCCTATGAGAATCTAATGCTGCCACTGATGTGACAGGAGGTGGAGCTCCGGTGGTAATGCAAGCGATGGGGAGCAGCTGTAAATACAGATGAAGCTTCACTCATTCACCCGCCACTCATCTCCTGCTCTGTACTCCTGGTTCCTAACAGGCTACAGAGTGGTACGAGTCCATGGCTCAGGGAGTTGGGGATCTCTGGTCTATATGGTATTTTCTTTCTCATGGATACCATGTCCTTGCATATGAAACTGTTAGAAAGCAGCTCCTGCCTCGTATTTTCCATCTACTATTCTATATCTGGTCTCAGAAGGCCAAATCAAGGAAATGAATATATACATATATATTATATATATATGTATATATATAAAACACTGGTGATCTTTATCCAGTCATTTCTAAAATAAATCTAGAGCTAGGACAAAGCAATGGAGTTTTATTACTTAAACTAAAAAAGATAAATATTTACTTTAAAATGAGAGTTCAAAAGAGAAGCAATAATGAAAGTTAAATTGATTGCCATACAAGCAGAATGTACTTTAGGGGTAAAACCATGGAGGAATAAGTTTTTTTTCTCAATTAGGATGGAGTTGGAGTAATGACATTCAGTTTCTTATTGCATATTATTACATCTAATACGTGCAAATGTTGCTGTGTAAAGACATAAAACAAATTAAAAAATCTAATTGAACTGCATCTTATTACTTGGTCTTGAAATAAGGAAAAAATACTAAACTAGAAAAGTAGCTCTGCCTTTTTATTCTGGATATTTCAGAATTGATTTTTGACTTTTCTGAGAAGTGACATGAATAATTTAGGGAATAGAGCATAATGCTGTTTAAAATGGTTAAAGTATAATACCACAGAGGCAACTGCGTAAAAGTCCCTGAAAAATCACAAAGGTGTTTAATGTTTCTAATTATGTTTAAGGAATTCAGTGGTGAGGTCTGGGAAATGACTTGCTGAGCTTGTCAGCTCACTCACTGACCCACTCAAATTCCTGAACAGAAATCTGGACTCTTTCTAAGTCATTACTTCAGCTCAGGAAACTTTAGGCAATTTCATTTTGCCTTAAGTGGGCTTTGAGACTCCAGAATGATTTGGGGGAGGGAGTAGGTTAATTGAAGTAGAAATAAAGCTCACCTATAATAATGGGCTCTATAGGGATGAATATTTCCTATCTAAATGTATTTTCATCATAGCAGCTAATTACTACCAATTTGAATCTATCTTAATAGAAATAAAGAAAAATGTTTTCTCCACTATTGTTTTATGAACGATACATCTGTTAATGCCAATGGCTTATTATTTTTAAGGAAATGTATTTATACAGTTGACCCATAAACTATGCTGAAGTTAGGAACACCAACCCCTGTGCCCCTGTGAGGCTGAAAATTCCTGTATAACTTTTTTATACAGGGAGACAAGGTCTCGTTCTGTCACCCAGGCTAGAGTGCAGTGACGTGATCTTGGCTCATTCACTGCAACCTCCTCCTCCTAGGCTTACGCGATCCTCCTACTTCACCCTCCATAGTATTTGGGACCACAGTCATGTGCCACCATGCCCAGCTAATTTTGCCCAGGCTAGTCTCAAACTCCTGAGCTCTAGCGATCTGCCTGCCTTGGCCTCACAAGGGGATTACAGGTGTAATCCCTTGCTGGGATTACAGGTGTGAGCCACCTTGCCTGGCTCCAAATTATTTTCTCCTGTACATATATTCTCTAAATTTCTTGATATTTTAAGTTATCATAGTCTTTTTAGCTGCCTCATAATCTATTTGGGAGTAATTGGTAACATTTTAATGTGTCTCTATATACTGCAAGCAATTCCAAATGGAATGACTTGAAGAAATGTGCTAGGTTGTGGATAAACTATTAGGTAGCTTAAAAAATTATTTGTAAATAGCTATTTGCAAAAGGTAAAGGTAAAAAAGCAGAATGTGAGAAATTGATTTTGAGGAACTAGTTCTCTTGTTACAAAAAGACTCCAAGAAAACCTCTCAAGAACTAGTTCTAGAGATAGCTGACACTTAATATTCACGAAATCAAGGTAATACAAAGAAAAGATTTAACAAAAATTGTGTATTTGGGACGTCATGTGCAGGTAAAATGAGTTAATTTGCGTTTGCAGTATGCCATTTACATTATGATGATGCTAAGACTCTCAAAATATTTTGGTTTCTGAGGAAAGAAGTGATATATACAAACATACGTGGAGGACTATAATGAAGGATTTAATGGTCCGGTGATCTCTACCTTCTCTGTAGGTGGAGTAAAAGCAATTGGCTTCATACAAGCAAACAAAAATGATGTGGGTGACATGTAAAAAATTATCCAATTGTTAAATATGAAATCGTGTATTGGGTTGTCTAATTTTCTTTATTGCAGATTTCAGAGCAGCCAAGTTTTCATCTTAGTTTAGGTAGAGCTCTTTGTTTAGATGCAGAGCTGGGAAGTTAATCCTCTAATGTAGAGGTCAGCAAACTTTCCGTAAAGGGCCAGATAATCCATGTGTTCAGTTTCCAGGGCCATGTAACCTCTGTTGCAGTACTCATCTCTGCTATGGCAGGATGAAAACAGCCATAAGCAATATGTAAATGACTGATCATGACTATGTTCCAATAAATCTTTATTTATAAAAACATGAGGCAGAAGGGATTTGCCCCTTGGACTGTAGTTTCCTGACTCCTGGTTGAGATTACTTTCCTGTAGGAAACATGAAAATTTGCTTGATAGGGTTTAAGGAAAATGAAATAAAAAGTGATCATTTCTGTGACTTAAACTTGATTATTCTACAGTTTTAAAAATTCTATAATAGCTTATTATGGGTATGACATTTTATGGTAACAAGACAAATCTTTAATTGCTTTTTTTTTGAGGAGTCTCTCTCTTCTTGCCCATAATGGAGTGTGCAGTGGCGCGATGTCGGCTCACCGCAGTTTCCACCTCCCAGGTTCAAGCAATTCTCCTGACTCAGCCTCCCAAGTAGCTGGGATTACAGGCATCAGGCACCAAGCCTGGCTAATTTTTGTATTTTTAGTAGAGACGGGGTTTCACCATGTTGTCCAGGCTGGTCTCAAACTCCTGACTTCAGGTGATCCGCCTGCCTCAGCCTCCCAAAGTGCTGGGATTACAGGCATAAGCCACCGTGCCTGGCCTCTTTAATTGCTTTTTATCTGTCTGTATAACCCTGGGACCCATTCCAGCCTTGATGCATTCTAAAGACAGAACTGATTTACTTCATTTCTATATTCCCAATGCACAGTGTACTACCCATCACTAAATAGGTACTTAATAGATATTTTAACTGAAGCATCAAGTGTTTACTCATTTTTAGGCTGCTTTAAGTACATGGAAATTTTGACAAAAGTCTAGAAACAAGGAAATATTCAAAGGCCCTTTTTTATACAATGACAATAAATGTTTTTCTTGCTTTTGGAAACATTTTTATTGCTGTAGTACAAAAAAGTTCTTGATTAAAGCCTTTGATTCAGGAGTTCCATGTAGTCTAAGACAGACCAGTTAGGTTTATGTCAGAGTACTATCAAATACAGTGTCTGGAGAGCTAAGATCCAATTTGGCAATACTGTAAAAATTCCAGTATCTGTGGCGCTGCAGAAACAACTTTCAGAGTGAATCCCGATTCCATTATCAAGCTCTTTTGTGAGAGCAGTTAATATGACCAGGGTCTAGCAGGTTTTCTTTAAGCTCCAATGATAGCTGATGGACAGAAAATGTTGACTGGAAAACTTCCCAAGGAGAAAAGTAAATGTCTCATTCCATGAGAATGTTTTACAACTATTGTTTAATAAAGAGAGGTTATAGTTATAGCAACAGCAGTAAAGGATGGTGTGGATGAGTAAACCCCATACTCCTGGTCATGAAAATTTTTTCAGTAGTTGAATAACTGGTACAATGAACAAGAACAACCTGTGGGATGTAATGAAAAGATAATTTTATTTTTTTCTCTAGTAATGTCTCTACATTTATTTGATGGGTATAATTTGTCCTCTTCCCTGACTGAAAACCAGTCCTTGTCTGATAACTCTTAGGAAATAGGAAGTCCTACTGTCACTTAAGTCATAAGCAAAATTTCATTTCCGAAATTAGAAATGTTTTGACTCTACTGGGTTTACATTCCCTCCTGAAACAAAAACTGGACGAAAATATATGAAACAACAGTTTTGAAGATGTTGGATGTCAGGTAATGAAAGACAGTGATGTCTGAAAGACAGGAAACACATAAGGTTGCCTTGAGAGAATTTCCAGGCTTCAGTGCAGGAAGCAGGAATGCGGGCAGGGCCCAGTAGACATCCTGAATTGAAGACAAGGAGCTGAGAGTACAAGATGACCAAATCATCTGTAGTGTACAGGACAGAGTCCTGGAAAAGAGAGATTTACACAAAGAAAGAACCCTTGAGACCTGCACGAGGACTCCATAGGATATTTAACCAAGTGCTTATCACCATATGCATGTGAGCAAAAAATAGACTTGAGTCCAGGGAAATAAATATATGAAAGGAATAGCAGGTCAGTCTGTGGCAATCGATCAAGGTTGGAAGGGTGCCTTTCCTTATTAGCCAGCCTGGAAAACTTCAGAATTAATGGGGCATTGAGTAGATTATTTAGAAGGGTCTTCCCTCAAAAGTGTGGAATAGGTAACCCAGCAGTTAAACACTTTTAAATATTCAGTTTTTCAAAAACGTAAGTAGAGATGTGAAAGATATAAAAAAGATCTAAATCAGACTTTTAGATCAAAACTACAATGTGGAAGATGAAAACTGCACTGACTTGGACTGATGTAAGTTTTGATATCATGGCAGAAAAGATGAATAAAGTTGAAGGCATGGTACTGTAATAGACTATTCAATTGAAATGCAGAGAAAAAGAAATGTAAAAACATGAACATCAGTGAGCTGTGGGACAACTTCAAGTATACTAATGTACCTGTTATTGCCCCTAAGGTGGGTGAGGAGAAAAATTCTAAAAAAAAAAAATGGCTGAAAATTTGTCATATATGATGAAAACTGTAGATCCATGGAACCAGGAAATTCAAACTCCGTACAGTGGAATAAAGAGCACTGGAAATGGTAACTACATCAGTTAATGCATAAGATGTTTTCCTTATTTATCTCTCTTGTAGATATAATTGACTATTAAAACAAAAATTGTATTATGGGGCTTATAACCTATATAAGTAAAAATGTAAAAAATAGCATAAAAACAAGGATGGGAGAAATTGAAGTACATTACTGGAAATTTGTTATACTGTATATCATAGTATAGATGAAGGTGTGTTGTGGTAAGTTAAAAACGTAGTCTATAAACCCTAAAAAACCACTGAAATATCAAAACAAAAGTTTATAGCTAATATGCCAGGAGAGAAAATGAATTCATAAGAACACTAAATCTGAATTAAACAAGAAAAAGGTGAAAAAAAGAAAAAACAGATGAAGCAAATAGTAGACAAATAGCATGATGATAGACTTAGTTACAGTAATAGCCATATTGAATGTAAGTGTTATGAACAGCCCAATAAAAACAGGGTTGATAGCTTGGATAAAAAAGCAAGACCTCATTTATATGTTGCCTTCAATAAATCAATTTTAAATACAAAGACACAGATAGATTAAAAGTAAAAGAATAAGAAATATATGCAGTACTAACACTGGTCAACAGAAAGTGTCTCTATTAATAAGAGACAAAATAAAATTCAGAGAAAGGAATATTACCAAAAAAGAATAAATGGTCATTGTGTAAAAAAGGCATGCCATTCTGAAATGTTTTTTTTTAACCAAATAACAGAACATTAAAATACATGAAGCAAAGCAAAACAAAACAAAACCTTATAGAACTACCAGGAGAAATAGACAAATTCACAGTTGAAATTAGAGATTTGAATACCTCTCTGGATAATTGATAAAAAAAACTTGATAAAACAAATCAGCGAAGATATAAAAGACTTGATAAACATTCTCAACCAACTTGATCTAATTGTCAGTTACAGAGCATACCACACAACAAGGCTTGAATGCATGTTTTCAAGTCATATGGAACATTTGTCAAGATATGTCATATTTTGATTCAAAATACATGTTTAAATTAGTTTATAATGATTCAAGTCATACAAGGTATATTCTGTGGCCACACAGAATAAAACTAGAAATCTAACAGAAACTTGTCTAGAATATTCTCAAATATTTGGAAACTAAATAGCATAATTCCAAATAACCCATAAGTCAAATAACTAACTAAAAAAGTTCTTGAAAATATTTTAAATTAAATAAGCATAAAAGCTGGACCAGTCACTGTGGCTCACACCTGTAATCCCAGCACTTTGTGAGGCTGAAGTGGGCAAATTAGTTGAGGTCAGGTGTTCCAGACCAGCCGGACCAACATGGTGAAACCCTGTGTCTACTAAAAATACAAAAATTAGCTGGGCATGGTGGTGGGTGCCTGTAGTCCCACCTACTCGGGAGGCTGAGGTACAAGAATTGCTTGCACCCAGGTGGCGGAGGTTGCAGTGAACCAAGATGGTGCCACTGCACTCCAACCTGGGCAACAAAGTGAGATTCCATCTCAAAGGAAAAAAAAAAGGTGTAAAAGCACAACATATCAAAATTTATATCCCCAAATGTCTTTGTTATAACAGAAGAAATTTCTTAGATCAGTGACTTCAATTCCCCCTTAAGAAACTAGAAAAATAACAAACTAAACTCAAAGTAAGCAGAAGAAAGAAAATAAAGTTCAGAGCAGAAATCCATGGTTCTTTGAGAACATTGATAAAATCAATACATTTCTAACTGGAGAACCTGGGGCAAAAAGAAGAAAGAGATAAATTACCAATACAATGAATGAAATAGGGAGCATCAGTGCTGATTTTATAGACACTAAAAGGATAATATGGAAATATTCTGAATAGCTTTATCCTCATATATTCAACAATTTAGAAAGAATGGGAAAAGTACATAATTACAAATATCATTCAAGAAGAAATAGACTTATGATGAAATCTTGCCATGTTAAAAATAAAAGAAGAAATAGACAACCAGAATTGTCCTGTGTTTATTAAAGAAATTGAATTTGTAGTTAAAAACCTTCTCACAAAGAAACCTCAAGTTCAGATGGCTTCACTGATGAATGCTACCGAACATTTAAGGAAGTAAATATCTCCAAAAAATTAAAGAACAAGGAAGGTTTTCCAACTTTTTCCATGAGATCAAGAATATAATTATCAGAAAACTAGAAAGACGTTAAAAGAGAACTACAAATGTCACTTATGAACATACATGTAAAAATCCTAAACAAAATATTAGCAAACCAAATTCAACAATATGTGAAAAGGATAATACAGCATGGATAAGTGGGTGTTAGCCACACAAGGTTGGTTTACCTTAGAAAATTAGTCAGTGTAATTCACAACAAACTATAAGAGAAAAACCAAATGATCATATCAATTGATGCAGGAAAAGCATGAAACAAAATTCCGCATCCATTCCTTATAAATACTCTCAGTTAGTGGACTAAAAACAAGCATCTTCAAACTGATAAAGACAATTAGGAAAATCTGCAAATATCATACTTGATAGTGAAAGGCAGAATGTTTTTCCCTGAGGTGTGATCTCACCACTTCTATTCAGCATTACGCAGGAACTTTTTACTAGTGCAGTAAAACATGAAAATGAAAGAAAAGCAAATGATAAAGGAAATAAATAAATAAAACATCTTTATTTACACATGACCTGATTGTCCATTTAGAAAATCTGACGGAATCTGTTAAAACAAGCAAGCAAGCAAACAAAACCTAATAGGACTAATAAGTGAATTTAGCAAGGTTTCCCGACACAATATCTATATGCAAAAATCAATTGTATGTTCACTGTTTGCGTGATGGGTACTCTAGAAACCCAGACTCTACCATTCTGCAGTATATCTATGTAACAGATCCGCACATTATCCCTGAATCTAAAATAAAATAAAAATTTAAAAACCTAAGAACAGAGAAAGCTAATTTATGGTAGTAAAAGTTGGAAGTTAATTACTTGAGGTGGTAGGGGAATTTATTAGAAAGAAGCACAGAAACAATTTCTGGGATTATATGATGGAAATATTCCATGTCTTCAATTGGGTGGTAGTTACATGAGCATACACAATTATTATAACTCATCCAACTGTATAAAACTCAATTGTAAAAAAAAGAAACAACAACCTTGTTGGAATTTTGATTGGGATTGTGTTGCATCTGTAGATCAAGCTGGGAAGAACTGACATCTTGATGATATTGTCTTCCTATCCATAAACATGGAATTACTCTCTATTTATTCTTTGATTTCTTTCATCAAAGTTTTGTAGTTTTCCTTATATAAAATTTGTATATATTTTCTTAGATTTATACATAAGTTTTTTTTAAGGTGCTAATGTTAATTGTATTATGTTTTCAATTTCAAATCACAATTGATAATTGCTGGTGTATAGGAAAGCAACTGACTTTTTAATATTAATCTTGTGTCTTGCAACTTTGCTATAATTGTTTATTAGTTCCAGGAGTTTTTGTTATTGTTGTTGCCTCTTTGGGCTTTTCCACATAAACAATCATGTTATCTGCAAACAAAGACAGTTTGATTTCTCTTTTTTTTTTATCTGTATATGTTTTCTTTTCTTTTCTTGTCTTACTGTCTTAGCTATGACTTCTAGTACAATGTTGAATAGGAGTGCTAAAAGTGGACATCCTTGCTGTCATCCTGATATTAATGGGAAGCACCTATTTTCTCAGATTTCAGTATGATGTTAGCTGTAGGTTTTTATTTTATGGTCTTCATCAGTTTGAGGAAGTTACTCTCTCTAGTTTGCTGAGAGTTTATATCATTAATGGGTGCTGGATTTTGTCAAATGCTTTTTCTTCCTCTTTTTATATAATTATGTGATTTTTTTCTTCTTTAGCCTATTGATATGATGGATTACCTTAATTGATTTTTAATTGATTTTCGAATGTTGAGCCCATTTTGCTTACCTGAATTAAAGTCCACTAAGTTGTTGTGTATAATTATTTTTACACATTGTTGTAACCTTTAACTTTTTCCCATTTAGTATGATGTTGGCTGTGGGTTTATCATACTTGACCTTTTTATGTTGTATGTTCCTTCTATACCTAATTTGTTGAGAGTTTTCATGGTAAAGGGTGTTGAACTTTGTCAAATGCTTTTTCTACATCTATTAAAGTGATCGTATGGTTTTTTCCCTTCATTCTGTTAATATGATGCATCACTTTATTGTTTTGTGTATGTTAAACCATTCTTGCATGCCTGGGATAAATCATACTTAATCATAGTGGATGATCTTTATAATGTGCTGTTAAATTCTGATTGCTGGTATTTTGTTGAGGACTTTTGCATCCACAGTCATCAGTGATATTGGGCTGTAATTTTTGTGGTTGTTTTATTGTCTGGCTTTGATGTCAGGGTAATGCTGGCCTTGTAGAATAAGTTTAGAAGAGTTTCCTCCTTTTTACTTTTTCGCAATAATTTGTAAATAATTGGTGTTAGTTCATCTTTAAATGTTTTGTAGAATTCAGCAGTGAAGCTATTAGGTGCCAAACTTGATGGGGGACTTTTTATTACTGCTTCAATCTTGGTTTCTTCTATGCTTTCCAACTGTTGACATAATTGTTCATAGCAGAATCTTATGATATTTTTTTATTTTTGTGGTCTCAGTTGTAAGGTCTCTTTTTGTTATTTATGATTTTATTTTTTATAGTCTTCTCTTTTAGTTAATCTGGCTACAGGTTTGTTGATTCTGAGATTGTCTATTATAAAAAGACTTTTTGTTTTGCTGGTCTTTTGTATTTTTTTAGGCTCTATTTTATGTGTGTTCTGATATTTATTATTCTTTTGTCCTACTACTTTTGGGCTTTGTTTTTGTTTTTCTAGTTCCTTGAAATGTGTTGCAAGGTTGTTTATTTGAGATTCTTTCTCTATTTTGATGTAGGCATGTATTGCTATCGGCTTCCCTCTAAGGACTGCTTTTGTTGTATCCCATAAGCTTTGGTGTTTCAATTTTTATTTGCTTCAAGAAATTTTAAAATTAAAAAAATTGTATTGACCCATTTGTTGTTTAGGAACATTTTGTTTAATTTCTATATATACTGTTTTCAATGTTCTTCCTCATATTGATTTCTAGTTTAATTCCATTATGGTCAGAAAAGATACTTGATTTTGATTTTTCAAATTTGTTAAGGCTTATTTTGTAAATGAACATGTGATCTCTCCCGGAGAATGTTCCATGTGCATTTGTGAAGAATGTGAACTCTATAGCTGTTTGATATAATGTTTTGTAAATATCTGTTATGTCCATTTGGTCTAGAATACATTTTAAATCTGATGTGCCTTTGTTGACTTTCTGTCTGGATGATCTGTTCATTGCTGAAAGTGGAATGTTGAAGTAAGCTATTATTATATTCCTTTCTATCTCTCTCTTTAGGTCTACTAATGTTTGCTTTTTATATATGAGTGTGCTGATGTTGGGTGCATATATCTTTATTATTGTTATATATCTTTTTATATTGACCCCTTTATCATCACATAATGGTCTTTTTTGTCTCTTTTTATAGTTTAAAAACAAACTTTAAGTTATTTTATCTGATAGAAATATAGCTAGCTACTCCTGCTTTCTTTTGGTTTGCATTTGCAAGGAATATCTATTTTTCATTCATTTTCTTTCAGCCTAAGCATGTCCTTCCAAATAAAGTGAGTCTCTTGTAGGTGGCATATAGTTGGGTCTTGATTTTTATTCATTCAGCCACTCCATTTTCTTTTTTTTGAGACGGAGTCTTGCTGTGTTGCCAGGGTGGAGTGCAGTGGCACGATCTCGGCTCACTGCAACCTCTGCCTCCTGGGTTCAAGCGATTCTCCTGCCTCAGCCTCCTGAGTAGCTGGGACCACAGGCATGCGCCACTATGCCCAGCTAATTTTTGTATTTTTAGTAGAGATGGTGTTGCACCATGTTGGCCAGGATGGTCTTGATCTCTTGACCTTGTGATCTGCCCACCTCGGCCTCCCAAAGTACTGGGATTACAGGCATGAGCCACTGTGCCTGGCCCCTGCCACTCTATTTTCTAATTGGAAAATTTAATCCATTTACATGCAAGGTAATTATTGACAGCTAAGGACTTGGTACTACCATATTATTTGTTTTCTAGTTGTTTTGTAGCTCCATTCTTCCTTTTTTTCCTTTTTACTGTCTTCCTTTGTTGTTAAGCTATTTTCTCTCTCAGAGTGTTTTGATTCCTTGATTTTTGTTTTTAGTGTAGTTATTAAAGATTTTTGCTTTGTTTTTACCAGGAAGTTTACAAAAACCATCTTATCGTCATAACAGGTTTTTTTTGATGTGATAACATCTTAATTTTGATCACAAAGAAGAAAATACTATTTATTTTGACTCATTCATTTTACTTATTCATAAGCTATAGTCACCAAATTCATTGTTGCTATTATTGTTTTGAATAAACTATTGTCTCTTAGATTGAATATGAATAAGAACAGACAGTTCACCCAAAAAGATATGTTTGGCATACAAGCACATAAAAAACACTTAACATAATTTGTGCTTAGGGCAATGCAAGTAAAATTTCAGTGAGATGCCACTCTTTTACCTGATAGAATTAATAAAATTAGAAAGCAAATTTTATGAAGATGTGGTGGAGCCCTCACATACTGCTGGTAAGAATATAAAAAATATGATAATCACCTTGGAAAACTGTCAGTTTCTTAAAAAGTTAGACATATACCTAGCATCTAACCTAACACATTACCTGCCATATAACCACAAGAAAATAAAACATGTGTCCAATGTTCATAGCAGCTTTTTTTTTTGCAATAGTCAAAAACTGGAAACAACCCAAATGTCCACCAGCACATGAATGGATAAACAGATTGTGGTGTATCCATACAACACAACTCAACAATAAAATAGAATGAACTATTATTGTTACATACTACAATGTCAGTTTATCTCAAAATAATTATGCTGGATGAAACAAACCAGATAAAAATATTATACACTATATGATTTCATTTATATGAAATTTTTAAAAATGCAAACTACCGTGACAGTAAGCAGATCAGTGGTTGCCTGGGGGGTGTGGTGGAGGACTTGAAGGATTGAGATAGAGCAGGGAGTGATGTGTTGGTTAAATGTCTTTCCCTTGAATGCCCAGTCCTCTGGGATTTTATCGTCATGGCTTCTGCTCCAGTTCAGAGATGTCAAAGCTGGACTTGGTGAACCAGATTTGAAGAATTATTCTACCTCAAATACCAATTATGTCTCTACCAAGAAACCACACTTTTAGGATCTCAGTGAAACATTCATTTTCATGTCACTATGCAGTTATCTATATAATTAGAAATAAGAGCAGAACACAAATTTTGAAAACATTTTAATGACATAGTGAGTCAAAATAATCTATTCCTAGAGAATTAGCATGGATATGACATGAATCTGAATCAAATGTGTTTGGAGGCTTTATTTATATTTTAGTGCATTCCCTAGTTCCATGTTATTTTAGGGAATTTAGCTTGAACCTCTCAGAGTAACAAAATTAAAGAGAGCCAGGTGCGATGGTGTGCCTGTAGTCCTGGTTATTTGGGAGGCTGAGGCAGAAGGATTGCTTGAGCCCGGGCGTTCGAGTCCTGGGCAACATAGCGAGACCCTGTCTCAAAAAAAATTAGAGTCAATTTTATTAAAATCATTAATGAGTCAGAGCTTTTTATTACAATACTTGGTGATAGTTACACAATAGTAATACCTTGTGGTTAACATCCACTAGCTTCATAGTACATGTGTGCTATCTAGTAGGACATTCATGTTTTCATTCCTTAAATATCAGGTAAGTAGAATCAAGACAGTATTTCTATGATATTTCTATAGTAAGATGTGGGCCAGAATCCTGAGTTACTTTACACTCATTCAGTCAACTTCCAGCTGTAAATTACCTCCCCTCCATGATGCACCTGGCCCTGGCCACCAAAATGTTCTTGAGAACTAGAAGTAAGTAGCAAAATGCATCTGGTTTGGGAGTCAACTTTTCTCCCTCCATTCTCTGATAACGAGTAGCAGAATGACCAAAAGGTAAAAGAACAGTAATTTCTGCTTTGAAACACTATTTTTCTCTAAGTTTTATATATAAAAATTTAAGAATATATTTTTTAAAAGTAATTACTTGAATGATTAATACTCTATCTTCAGTAACATTAGTGATAGCTATCATCTGAGGATAGGAACCATATAAATAACCTAGTATTATTACTTCATTCTTTATTTTCTCATTTCCATAATCTCTGTAATTTCCTCTCTCAATTCCCTTTTTAGTACTTAAAAACATCACAGAAAGTATCATCTGCATTTTCAGGTTTTTTCCTTTCTATTTTAGCGAGGGCCTTATGACACCTGTAGAATAAGGTGTCCTTTAAAGCACCCTTCCTTTAAGATAGAAATTTTGGTCAATTTCCCTGAGAATTATGAGGCTTATATGTGTTATGGAGGATTTGTGATTCACCTCCAGGTTGCAATTCTAGTTGTTGAGTTGAAATAAAATATGTTACCACGGGGCTTTAGTTGCCTTAGAAAAATCTGTTTTCCTCATGCAGTCTCAAAAATAAGAAAGATCAGTCTGTGTGCTCTCACAGCCATGCCTGTGATGAAACTTCAGGGGAAGCAGTGATAAGATACGGTGTTCACATCTTTGGATTTTGTACCTGCTCTTTGTCTGTCACTGTTATATTAATAAAATATTTTAAAGCAGTGCAAAATTTATATTTTGAAGAGTTTATCTGTACAGGTGGAATTTGGCAGGGCATATTTTATCACCCAGTTCTGGCCATTTGGAAGGATGATTCTATTACTTAAAAGGATATGCTTGCAGGGTAACTAAAAAACTCCTTCTTTAGAAGCATTTTTGCAAACATGTAAAACTAATAATTCTGTCTGCAAGTCATATGGTTAAACTGTTATGTAATCATTAATAAAGGTGTTTATATTTATATGTTGATTATACACAACAAAGTATATTTATAAAATATTCTTTTTAAATATAAAAATATAATTATAGCAGTTTACCAGAAATAATAGTTATGAGCCTTTGAAATATCTTCACAATATGCCAGAATGTCTTGGCCTGTTTTGTAATAGAGTTTCTACTACGAGATTCATTTGTCAACTCAGATATTTCCATTGCCTTGCAAGAGGCACTAAGCTACATCCTCTTATGCCACAATGCCATGTTTATTAAGAATGCAAATTCTTGTATTTTTTTTAATTGTAGAGGACATACTATTCTTTGACAATGCAGTGTCGTTTAAGGTATTTCTGCAGAATAAAATATAGTGAGAATTATATTGCTTATACACATTTACCTTTTAATCTATGACTACAGAAATATTTTAAAATTTATATTTTCAGTTACTTCCCCTAGACTTTTTATAAGTACAGAATTTAACTAATGTGCATATTATAGGTTATGCCTGTTCTGTAATGTGCATGCTTATGATTTTTTTAAACATAAGACTCTAGTAAACATTGATATTTTCAGTGGATATACCTTTTATTGTTTTCTGTTTTCTAGAAAAATACTCTCAATTATAGGCAATTTAGAAATAAAATTTAAAACTATTATATGTCTTGTATTAAATTGGTGAATTATTGGACATTCCCATACATGGTAACATTGAGTAGGGTTGAGTTGGCAGGAACAAATGGATAGATCCAAGAGATATTTAGAAAGTAAAATTGTTAGAATTTGGTGATGTCTTTCTCCCCTATTTTAACATATTTCTTCCCCTCCTTCAAAACTTGTCCCTCAATTCCTTGATTTTAGCAGTTCTTTCTTTTTTTTTTTTGAGACGGAGTCTCCTGTCTCCCAGGCTGGAGTGCAATGGTGCGATCTTGGTTCACTGTAACCTCTGCCTCCCGGGTTCAAGCCGTTCTCTTGCCTCAGCGTCCCTAGTAGCTGGGATTACAGGTGCCCACCACCATGCCTGGCTAATTTTTGGATTTTTTGTAGAGACGGGGTTTTACTATGTTAGCCAGGCTGGTCTCAAACTCCTGACCTCAGGTGATCCGCCTACTTTGGCCTCCCAAAATGCTAGCATTAGAAGCATGAGCCATCCGCGCCCAGCCTGGCAGTTCATTCTTGACCTCCAATCTGTTCCATTCATTTTCTTTGACTTTCTTGAGACCTTCGTCCACTGATTCCACTATTATTTTTATCAATCGCCACTCCCTTTTAGATTAACTTCTCTAATACTCATCATAGATTTTATGATTCATAATTATAATCACGGTCTTGCAATATCCCCCAATTCCTTGTCCTTCTCTTCTGTATACTCATCTGTGTTGGGGAAACCAGCTCCTCATCACCCAGCAGGTACCCCGAGTCCGGCGGAGACAAAGGAGTTAGAAAGAGACAGAATAAGTGTTTAAAAGGTGGGTCCAGGGGACCAGAGCATTGGAGGCTTACTCAAGGTCCAGAGCTCTCGGGCTCCACCCAATTAATTGGTTTACAAGCTCTTTGTTCTTAGGGCAGATGGGAGGGAGAGGAAGGGATGAGGAAAAGGATTAATCAGTGAAAGAGAACTCATGAGTCATTCAATAAGATGTATAGCAGTGGCGGTTTCTGTGAATTTCCTTGATCAAAGACGTGTGTCTAAACTACTTAAAATCTTTAACTTAACCGGGACTGAAACAGGTGGGAGTGGGTTTCAGAAGGAGCTGAGATGTTTGATTATACTCCACTACTTCAAGGGAGTGTTATCTCCCTGAGCAACCTGTGGAATGCCGCTGAGCGGTTATGCTCTCGAGGCATAAAGACATGAAGGCAATAAGGAGACTTTTCTCCTGAAAGGCTGCCCATGGCTCCCCATGGGTGTCTCACACAGGCGAGACCAACTCAATTGACACCCCAGAAACTCTCTTTCCCACAATCTGGAAAAACTCAATCCTAATTAAACTCTATGATCTGACCTTTGTACCTGCTCTGACCAGCTGCATGTTTCTAGAGCAAATCACACAACCTTATTGGCTGATTTCACTTTAAATTAGTTACAGTAAACCCTAAACAGGCACTCAAAAGTACCCAACAATCCCCCAGGAGGCATGAGTGCACATACACATACCTGCACAAATACATGTAATTCATAGATAGATAGATCGATAGGAAATGAAGAAATAAAAGAAAAGGAGATGTCAGGGAAACTCCTGCTTTTTCTGGCATATAGGCCCAGATGTCTTATGAGGAACACACAAGGCAAGTTGGGTCGAGGCAAGGTGGATGAATTCAGTTTTGTACATTTTGCAATTAAAGCGACTTTGTGACATGTTAGAGGAGATGTTAAGTATGAATTTATTACATAGATTTAAAATTTAGAGTAGAACTCTGAGTGAAAAACCCTGATTTAGGAAATTCTGGTAAACCTAGGAAGAGAGAATATAATGGTGAAAGAATGGGGCAGAAATGAACCTAGACAACCTGTAGCATCTAAAGGCAATAAGGGGTGATGGGCCAGCAAAGGCTAGGCCAGAAAGTAGATAAATCACCAGAATAATTTGAGATCAGGGAAAAGAAGACTTTAGAAAGAAATGGGGGGCAGGCATGGTGCCATATACCTGTAAATCCCAGCACTTTGGGAGGCCCAGACAGGAGGATTGCTTGATGCCAGGAGTTTGAGACCAGCCTGTATAACATAGCAAGACCTAATCTCTACAAAAAATAAAAAATTAGCTAAGTGTGGTAGCACATGCCTGTAGCCTCAGCTACTAGGGAGGCTGAGGCTGCAGTGAGCTATGATCACACCACTGCACTCCAGTCTGGGCAACAATGAGGCTTTGTCTCAAAAATCAATCAATCAATCAATCAATCAATCAATCAATCAATGGAAAAAAGAAGAAATGGTGGAGGGAAGGAGTCATCAGTGTACCAGTGTAGAATGCTGTGAAGATACTTTTTCATAGCTTCGTAACTAAGATATTTCGTATCTTCACAGCACAAAGATAAAACTCTAAGACTAAAATATTTTATTCTTGACATTAAACAGACAGCATGGTCACTGGTTGCCTTAGGTGGAGAGTAACTTTGATCAGTTGTGGAAGCCAAATTAGAATGGGTGGAATAATTGGAGGTGAGGGAACGGAGGCACATGCAGACAATTTTTTAAGAAGAGACAGCATGAAAGGAAAGCCTGAGAGAGGGTAGGTCTGTACCTGGAAGAGGAAGGGAGATGAGGTGAGATTTTAGTTTGTTGGTTTCCTATTTTTTGCCCTAGGAAAGATTGAGCAATGAAATATAATCATAGCTTAATTGGTAGCATAAAGTCATCTAAAGAAAGAGAGGTGATCTGTAGCCTGGGAAAAGGGGAATTTGATATTAAGAATCCGGCAACTTTTATTCTGCAGAGAGAGAGAAGGAGAGAGAGAAAGAGAGCGAGAGAGGCTGAAGTTAGAAGGAATTCCAGTTTATTGTGCATTTCCTAGATGAAAGAAATGCCTATTGGGATCATACTACTCCAGAGTTTTGGCTTCTCTCACTCCTAATTAAGTCTCCCCACCATCTCCACCGCAAGTTAATAAATTGATGCCAAGGTTTATTTATTAATCTTTTATGTGTTGAGTTAATTTTAATTGGGTTTTGAGAAGTTTTCTGGGTACATGGATATAATGGAGTTTGTAGACCTTCAAAAACTAAGGTATAGACTGAAGAACAAGGTGCCTGAATTTAAATATCACTGGTTCAAATTGGTATAACGGTTTAGTTCCTCAGTTAATAAGAAGAATAAAAATAATTACTGTTTGTCAAGCCCTTATCATGTGGCACACGCTGTACTTCACATATTTCTAATCCTTTCTGTAACTTTGCAAGCAGGCTATTATTATTTCCTAGGTGAAAGAACTAAAGCTCAAATTAATTCTTTTTTTGGTTCAAATTTTACCATAGAGATATTTGAATGTATAGAAAAATAAGGAAAATAGTGTAAATAACCCCTATGGAATCCAGATTCAAGAATTACTGATATCTGCCCATCTTATTTCAGCTCTGTTCACCCTACTCTGCCACCCCCAGATATATCTCTTTCTCACCAGCTTAGAGAATTTAAATGCCTTGCCCAAGGCCACCCAACCAACAGGCTTTCTAAGTATCTTCTATGGGTTAAATACTAAATGAGCAATTGAGGGTATAGACAGAATATCTGGTCCCTTCCAGTACGACCACAAACAGCAACAAGGGTTTGCTAGCCATTTTTCTATGAGAATTAACTCAGTTAATAATTACCATGATCCCATAAGGTTGGTATTAACCCCATCTTACAGATGTGGAAACTGAGTCACAGAGAGGATAAAATGACCCACCCAAGAATGGGAAAGCTGGAATTCTGACCCAGATGGTCTGGTTCCAGAACTGGTGCAGTCAGGTAGGGAGAGCAAACTAAAAAGAATTTGGAATGATTAGTGATAGGATGAAAGGATCTGGAAGGTTCATCCTTTTGGTGACATTGGCCAGCTGGCAACCTTCTCTGCTACCTTTTTCATCTTCATCTCCAGATATAATCCTGCAAGGTAAGCAAAAATTTGTATGACAGCACCCACGACATCATTAGAACCATGGCCTGGCTGGGTCTATCTCTTTGGTAGTTTCTGCAGCCAAGTCAAAGGGAAAGTAGGGAAAATTCAGAAGTTAATGACAGACTTTTTGGCCTGCTTGGTTTTTCAGAAAGTGTTAACTGAATGATGTGTATGACTGAACACATTTAGTATAAGTTGGCAGGGCCGGCCTCTGAAAAGCCTTCAGGGGGATAAAACTGGGACTGCTTTTTAACTGCCAGCTACACATTGTTTCAGCCATGCTGAATTCCAATGAGCTGGGCTTTATTGGCAGCTTGTTCACCGTATCATCATGTTACTTTAAATTAAATAATATCTCAGTCATTAATAAGCATTGTTCTTTTATCTGGAGTAGTGAAGAGTAGAAAAATTGCGTTAGGAAGAAGACGTTCCTCTTGATTTATTTTCTTAGCTCCCCATGGATATTCAGCTATTATGTGACATACACTCAGATTAATTGCTTATGTGATTAGTAGCGATTTTTGCCTCTGCTCTGGTGACTAAAATGGCAGCTCTGTTACCCTGCAATTCAAAGGCAAATGGATAGGGATGCAAACTTATAGCCGCAGTGCTGATATGAAGAGGGAAAGGAGAAAAGACAAGAGAGGAAATGAAAGGAGTAGGTCGTAGAATACAATTTTTCTCCTTTGTTAAGAATCACGATATTGGGTGTATGAGAATGATCCCTTACAAATGAAATTCTTCTTAGAGGAATCAGTTGTTGTTAGAATTTTTATCTCCTGCCTTGAAATCGGGAATTGTACAATTGCTGCAATCTTACTTTGTCTTGAAATTCCTTTCTTAGAAATTCAAGCCAAGCCTTCTATTCATCCTGGTAACTGAAAGGCAGTCTTCTTGGCTGATTCAGAGTGTGCCAGTGGGAAGTCAGGTTGCTTCTGACTGATGAACTGTCTTGAAGAAATGTTGTACTCTAAATTGCTTCCAAGTTTATTTTGTAAAACTCTATGGAAGGCTGTATTTTCTAGAGGCTTGGCAAACTGCTGGAGAGTAGTGTTCAGTAAGCAAACCATTTTAGTTATTCATCAAAACAAAGTCTTACACTCCCACTCACCTTCCAAATTCTCATTGAGCTTTTGATGGAAAGAGACGGTAACTCAGTAGGCTCACTTTCCTATTAAAAAACAAAAAGAAAGAAGGAAAGCAGCCTCTGTCACAATGATTCATTAGAGGCAACCGCCCATATCCCAGTTCATCTAAAGTTCACTAAGTTCCAATTCCCCCAAACGCCAAGTTCCAATAATATTATAATCCAAGAAGTGAAGGAAATAATTTATCCCAACAGTTTATACACTTGTAAATGCCTTGCTAGGCTTGTGATGTACATGGTTGTATAGAGCTCATTATTATGTTTGACAAGTTTATACTTTAACTTTGGGCAATAGGAATTTTGCTTACATCTTGTTGGTCATATATTGCTAGAGAAACATTTGAATTTTGTTAGTTTGCATAATTTTAAGGTTTGAAATCACTATTTTGAAGGATGCTCTACTCTTCAAAAATTTGCAGAATCTGAAGAACATAATTGCAAATTCTACTCCTTAACTTGCATGCCTCTTTTAAAAAAATCACTTTATTGAGGTGTGCTTAACATATAAAAAGCTGTACATAATTAATGTACAATTCGACAAGTTTGGAGTGTATGTCTCTCAAAATTATTGTTGCGCAATACCATGAATTATTATGTGGCTAATGAAAATGAGGAGAAGGATGGTGAAATATTAACATGTGTTTTGCTATATGTATAGTTATTAAAGAGCATGAAAGTTTAAAAAGGTAAATTTGACTTTGAGAGAAAAATGAATTGTACCATTGGTGAGACTTAACCCACTAGGGATTTTAATAAATATCATGAAAACATTCAATATATTTTATGTTTGAGTTAAATATCAAATTTGCAAGAGAACTACTTGCTGAATTTGCATTGATTTTAGATATTGAGATTATTTTTGTGACATTAGTAGAATCTGTTTTTGTAGAGGATTAGTTTTTTCATATTGGTCACTGACTGAATGGGATTATAACTGAATTATTATAAATATTGGTTTGTTTCTGAGAAAGAAAAATTGTATTATAGTATATTAGGGTTCTTCAGAGAAACAGAAACGCTAGGATTCGAAATACTGAGTTCAAAGGCCTGAGAACTAGAGAGGAGATGATATAACTCTCAGTCTGAGGCTGAAGCCTGAGAATTGAGTTGGGGATGTTGGGGGTGGCTAGCCTGGGGCTGGCGATGGAGGTCTGAAGGCCTGAGAACAAGGAGCTTTGATGTCTGAGGGCAAGAGAAGATGGATGTGTCCCAATTCAAAGAGAGGAGAGAATTTGCCCTTTCTTCTCCATTTGGTCTATTCAGGCCCTCAGCAAATTGGATGGGGCCTACGCACATGGGTGAGGACAGATCCTTATTCAGCCTGCTGACTCAAATGCTGATCTCTTCCAGAACACCCTCATACATACATCCAGAAATATTTTTTACCAGCTCTCTGGACATCCCTTAGCCCAGTCAAGGTGATGCATAAAATTAACCATCATATATAGACCACAGGAAGGGGAAATATGAATTGCCCAATGATTTGACTATTGCTATAATGGAAAGAAAAAGATTTTCAATGCTGATAAAACAAAGTTAATTAAACAGATATATGTTAAGTAAGAATTGTGATTTGAAGAGAAATAAGACATATTCTCTCTTTTGTCATCTCTCTTTTGGGGACTATAGCCTAAGACTTCCTTAAATTTTTTTTAACTGAAGTACATTTTATTTTAGTTCATGTAGGGCATGTCTGTCTAGACTTTTCAGTTACTTTTACAAAAATATCCACGAGATAATTCATGGATCTCATCTTCACCCATTTAACAATAAATATTTGTTCAGTAGGTATTGTATTTCAAGAACTAGGCATTGGGAATATAGCAGTGAAAACAATAGGCAAAGCCCTTTATCTTAAGGGGTTTACAAACTAATAGGGGAACAGACAACAGATCAATAATCATGTATAAACCAGTTTCTATATCTTAGGTGGACATAGATAAACATATATTAGGAAAATAAAGTAGGGTAGTAGTGTTTTTGAGTGGTTAAGAGAGGCTCTCTAATAAGAGATTTGTGTTTTTGGACCAGAGATCTGTAAAATACAAGAGAACAAACCATTCTGTTCTAGGCAGAGGAACATGCTATGATGCATGTGGGCTTGACATGTTTAAGGATCATCCAGGAAGCCACTGTAGAGGAGGAGCAGTAGGAAAGGATAGGAGAGAGTAGCAGGATCCTGATTATACAGAACCTTGTGGTTATTTTAAGACTGAGATTTTGTTTGTTCTAATCTAAGAATTTTAGATTAGAAATTTTCTAATTTTCTAATTCTTTTTTTTTGTTAGAGACTGGGTCTCACTCTGTTGCCGAGCCTGGAGTACAGTGGCACAATCATAGCTCACTGAAGCCTTGAACTCCTGGGCTCAAGCAATCCTACTACCTTAGCCTCCCAAGTAGCTAGGACTACAGGTGTGCGCCACTGTGCCTGGCTAATATTTTAAATTTTTCTGTGGAGACAGGATCTCACTATGTTGCCCAGGCTGGTCTCAAACTCCTGGCCTCAAGCAATCCTCTTGCTTTGGCCTCCCAAAGGACTTAGGTTTTGATATAGAGAAAAATGGGAAGCCATCGAAGGATTTTGAAAGAGAGACGTAATCTGATTTACAATTAATAGGAATTACTCTATTTTTATTTGAGACTCATCTCACTCTGTTGCCCAAGCTAGAGTGCAATGGCGTGATCTCAGCTCACCGCAACCTCCATCTGCTTCCTGCGTTCGAGTGGTTCTCCTACCTCAGCCTCCTGAGTAGCTGGCACAGTAGGCACATGCCACCATGGCTGGCTAATTTTTGTATTTTTTTGGTAGAGATGGGGTTTCACCATGTTGGCCAGGCTGGTCTCGAACTCCTGACCTCAAGTGATCCGTCTACCTTGGCCTCCCAAAGTGCTAGGATTACAGACGTGAGCCACCGTGCCCAGCCAGGATTACTCTGATTGCAGTGTGGAAATAGAATGTAGGGACACAAGAAAGTAAGAGAGACGTCAGTTAAAAAACTACTACAATAATTCAGTTGAAAGACAATGGTGGACTTCGGGGAGGTGATAATGGTGAAGTTGGTGAGGAATGAGGAATTCTAGATATGTATATATATTGCTAGTGGTAGGATTTCATGATGGATTGGGTGTGTCGTGTGAGAAAAACAGACCAACCTAAGAGCTATCTTCTCTGATTTACAGAAGAGCAACACATTTTACTCTATTTCCTTTTTGTCTCATTGGGGTGGTGGTAGGATGGAGTGTCTGGGCGTATGAGGTAGGAGACTGTTGAGGAGAATTCATCTTGGGCTTTTTGCAGCCTTCATATTTACTGTTCTTATGAGCTATTCCCCAAGCCTCAGATTGTTCATTCACTTTTGCCATTGTCATGCTTCCTCTGAGACTTTGGGTGGAATCCTCTCTTGTCTTCTTAGCTTCTGATGGTGGCCAGCAACGCTTGGTGTTTCTGGGATTGTAGATATTAATATCTCACTCCAGTGTTTGCCTCTGTTTTCACATGGTCATCTTCCTGTGCATCCCTGTCGTCTCCTCTTCTTATAAGGGCACCAATCATATTAGATTAGGGACCCGTCCTACTCCAGTATGATCTTATCTTAATCATTCACAACCACCCCTTTTCCAAATAAGGTCACATTCTAAATATTGGGGACCAGGGCTTCAACATGTTGTTTTAGGGGACACAATTAAACTCATAATGATGACGGAAATGATGAAGCCTGCTGGTATTCCTTGTAGACCCAATTACTCTTTGGTAGTTTTAGTGCCTGTTTCTCCTAAGAGTTTATTTTTTAGCCTACCACAGTTTTATGAATGCTGGCAGAACAAATATGCATCTTGAGTCAAAGATGGAGAAGAGTTTATTACCCATAGCAATAGGAGTAGTCAAAATACCAGCATTTTGGCATCCATTGCCCAAGCCCCACTTCCCACATGGTGATGTGAAGAGAATCAGATGACATTTGCACACTGAATGGATTACATTATGAGAGGAAGATGCTGAGTTTAGGGAACCTGAATCTTTTAATGGGCAGTAAGCATGGCTGCTGTCTGTTTCAGAGGGACTCCTGGAGAATTGTTGTCCAACAACTGTTATGAGGGGTTATTTCCTCATGAGAATACATATGGTGATGTTGTAATATTTTTCAGAAAATGTGATGATTTGTATAAAGTTTTGCAGTGAAATATATTTAAATGCTGTTACAACATCATTGCATAGAGCAATAACTCTAAGCCATGCACTTCAATGTATAATTCATACATGGTCCTCAAAATGGTATTGTGTAGTAGGTAAAGTAGGAGCTTTGGAGACAGAAAACACTTAGTTTTATCACTAATTGGGCCAATTCTTCATCCATGGGCAAAAAAAAAAAAAAAAAAATCTTCAAAATTGCTTCCTTAGGCTGGGTGTGGTGGCTCATGACTGTAATCTCAGCAGTTTGAGAGGCAGAGGTGGGCGGATCACTTGAGGTCAGGAGTTCGAGTCCAGCCTGGCCAACATGGCGAAACCTCATCTGTACTAACAGTACAAAAATTAGCTGGGCATGGTGGTTGGTGCCTGTAATCCTAGCTAATTGGGAAGCTGAGGCAGGAGAATCACTGGAACCAGGGAGGCGTAGGTTGCAGTGAGCCGAGATCACACCACTGCGCTCCATCCTGGACAACAGAGTGAGACTCTGTCTCAAAAAAACAAAAAGCAAAAATATTGCTTCCTTGTTGAATCCAACTTAATCCTTACAAAAACACATCAGATCAAAGAGCTTTGGTAACTCTCCCAATGTCATAGTGCTAACAGAAGAGAATCAGGACTGAAACCCGAGTCTGCCTGGTACCCATTCCTGATTCTTAACTACTTTATTATGAAAAAGATGTAAAGTACCTGGTATAATTAATAATAGGTGTTTATATTTAGTAGTCACAATTTAGTAGTTAGAATTTATAGAAGTCAACAGATTTCCAAAATGAATTCTGAACTATTTCTTGGAAACAGACAAAGACACAGTTGTGTTAACATCAGAGAAATCAAAGTAGAGAACATCCCTAGAAAACAGACATCTGTCATTGTCCTTAGAGCAGTTTTTTTTAGAGAAAAATTTGATATAAAAAAGGAATTGTCATCCCTCTGGGCATGGACATTGTCTGTTAACTAACGGAATTGTTTGGCTTATAACAGCCAGCGAATGTGAACTATAATTCAGATTTATATATTCATTTGATCATATCTGCCAAAACAGGAGAAAAAACAGGGACAAGAGTGGGGAATTTATTTTATTTTGCAAGTCAGAAGAGCAGAAAATTTCCTGTGTGATTGCCTTGGTGTAGAAGGGAGTCCTGAACAGTGCTCTAGGTATTTTGGTTGAGTATACACATGAGATTTACCATCCCCTTACATTTTCTCATTGTGTGCTTGGCTTTATCAGGTTTGTCTCATCTCTACCACTGGGCGTTTTCTTCTTTGGTTTTGCTGGTATAAATTTACTAGGCATTAATCACATGCAAGCACTGTAGAAAATACCAGTTACATAGGATCCCTTCTCAGTAAATTTGTGATAGAAATGGAAACATCAAGTGATATTTTCTGGGATGGTGATAGGGTTTGGTTGTGTCCCCACTCAAGTCTCATCTTGAATCGTAGTTCCCATAACCTCCACATGTCATGGGAGAGACCCAGTTGGAGGTAATTTGATCTTGGGGTGGTTACCCTCATGCTTTTCTCATGCTAGTGAGTTCTCACCGGATCTGATGATTTTATAAGGGGCTTTTCCCTATTTTGTGCAGCACTTCTCTTTGCTGCCAACATGTGAAGAAGGACATGTTTGCTTCCCTTTCCACCATGATTGTAAGTTTCCTGAGCCCTTCCCAGGCATGCTGAACTGTGAGTCAGTTAAACCTCTTTTCTTTATAAACTACCGGTCTTGCGTTTGTTTTTATTAGCAGCATGAGAATGGACTAATAAAGATGGCAAGTGGATATTTCTGTTTTTAATTTATTTTCAGTGATGGGTCAGTTAGATTCTCAAGTGGCATCCAAACACAGCATGTCACGTGACATATTTATTTTGCTAAGAGTTAACATTTTCTTTGGCCATTGGTTTTGTTATTGCTGGAGCTTATACTGTTCTATGTTGCTTGCTTGTTGGTATAATTGAGTGTACTACCCAGGTGTTTGGACAGTCTTGTTGCCAATAATTAATAAATACTATCACTTGAGGCTTAAGGAAATGACTTTGATTCTAAAATAAATGTTTACATCTGGGAGAAGCATTTGACTTCCAATGTAATATGAGTTTCCTTTAACTTGATTAGCTCTGGGGTTATCTTTTCAAGAATGCCAGTTAAGTGCAAACCTGCCCTAGAAAACAAATTCCTTTCAAACACAGGCTGCCAGCAAAGGGGCACAGGCTATTGGCAAGACATTGAAATATCAAAGTTGGAGGCCAAAGGATTGCGTTTTAATCCTAATGCCTCTTCTCATTAAATTCTTAATTTTGGGCAAATCTCTTAAACTTTTGGTGACCATCTTTCCATTTACAATGAGAGCACCTGAATATCTCTAAAACTGATAGGTGCATATAACCTCTTTTATTACTTGTTAATTTTATTTCTTCTAACTTTGTGTGACATTTAAGAGTTTACTAAGATATTATATAAAATTCTTTGTTCCAGTTTGTATTGGTGTAAAATAAATCATCCTGAAACATAGTGGCTTGGCATGGTAATCTTTTCTTTTTTTTTCTTATGAATCTGAAATTTGGACAGAGCTTGACAGCAAGGAGCTCATCTCTGCTGGGTACCAGCTGGGGCTGCATGGTGGTGGCTAGCAGGTTCATTAAAAATTTTTTTTTGGTAGAGATGGGGTCTCAATACATTGCACAGGCTAGTCTTGAACTCCTGGGCTCAAGTGATCCTCCTGCCTTGGCCTCCAAAGGTGCTGGCATTACAGGCGTGAGCCACTGTACTTGGCGGAGATCCATTTTTAAGATGCTAGCAAATTGGTGCAGGCCATTTGCAGGGACCTCAGTGCTGTGGGTTAGGGGTCTGGTTCTGATTCAGCTGGACCTCTCCATGGCCTGTTTGTAGATCCTCACAGCATGATGTCAGGTTGCAAGAGCAAGTACCCCAAGAGAAAAGTGGAAGCCGCCAGTTCCTAAAGCCTGGAGTCAGACACAGGTACAGTGTTGCTTTTGCTATATTCTGTTTTTGAAGTTTTTACAAAGCCCCATTTCAAGAGGAGAGAACCTAGAGGCCACCTTTCAGTGAGAGGTGTGTCAAAAAATTTGGAGGCCATTTAAAATAAATTTTTAAAATACATTTATCTGAGTTTTTAATTTTTATGTATGTATGTATGTATTTTTGACATGGAGTCTCATTCTGTCACCCAGGCTGGTGTGCAGTGGCGTGTTCTTGGCTCACTGCAACCTCTGCCTCTCGGGTTCAAGCAATTCTCCTGCCTCGGCCTCCTGAGTAGCTGGGATTACAGGCGTGTGCCACCGTGCTCAGCTGATTTTTCTATTTTTAGTAGAGACAGGGGTTTCACCATGTTGGCCCGGCTGCTCTTGAACTCCTGACGTCAGGCAATCCACCCGCCTCAGTGGAGGCCATTTTTAAAACCACCACACCCAGTTTCTGAACTACTGACAATTTATCATGCATCCTTGTAAATAGCATTTCCTATGTTTAACTTTTTTCTTTAAAATAGGAATGTTCCCTTGGTAGCCTACATCTCTGAATTTGAAACTTCCTCACCATAGTTATTACATATATGTGTATATATATATGAATTTCTAATGAAGCAAATGGACAAAGACCTAGAAGACAGAAGAAAAATTTGTTGTTACCTACATCTAAGAGTATTAAAACACTCATAAATTCATTCAGAAGAATTAATTTAAAATTAATTATCACTCAACTTAATTCAGAAAGATAAAACATCTTATTGAGAAACTCTCAATCAGTGACATCAATGTATCATTAAAAGGAAAAGTCAGAGTAGAGCTAGTGGCAGTCAGTCTGATAAATTATAACATAAATACACTTTGTATGAGAACATTCTCCATTTAATCAATGTCACTGATAAACATCCTCAGCAGGAAAGGGTAGGAGTTCCGATCTAGGTTGCGAAAGCATTCCACACAATGAAGTAAAGAAGGCTTTGTGAACATTAGTTCTGGGTAGGTAGGAGGATTTCTAAATAGCTCCAGAATATTAAGATAGAGTAGAGATACTAAATGGATAGAATGGCCACAAGTCCTTTTACAACGTTCACTGGGGCACAATTTCAGAAGCTTGAGCACAAGTACAGCTTTAGAACAGTTAAGGTTGGAAGATAGATAAATCTGATATGAAATAGTCTAAAATGGGATGAGTTTTTTTCTGTAGGAGAAAATATGAGTCAAAGAGGGGAAGGTTAAATTAACATTAGGTATTGAAAATACCAGCCAAAGCAAAATCTGGAGACTCCTGTAATAGCGAGAGCATCTTTTTTGGCCATCTTCTTCCAGGGGTCCTGAGGAAGAAGGAGGTGGCCACGTGAGATAGCTGGTGTCCCGGACACCTTCTCTGAGGACCTTCCTGCTTCCCCAAGTGCTAATACCTTCGTGCTCTTTTCTGCTGTCCTGACAATTAGCCTTCATCAGATGGCTCTTTTATGTCTATTGCAGATTATTGGGTTGCATGTGCATCTCCTTCACTTAATGTACCTTTTTACCATAATGACTGAATGAATATGGAGCTTTTCACGCTACGTTGTTAAATCTACTTGTTCTTCATTATTGGCATGAAATCACCTTTTTGTTCTTCTGCATGGTAGAAGTTAATATTGAGTGTCAACTTGATTGGATTGAAGATGCAAAGTATTGTTCCTGGGTGTGTCAGTGAGGTTGTTACCAAAGGAGATTAACATTTGAGTCAGTGGACGGGGAGAGGTAGACCTACCCTCAATCTGGGTGGACATCATCTAATCAGCTGCCAGTGTGGATAGGATAAAAGCAGGCAGAGGAGCATAGAAGGACTGGACTGGCTTAGTCTTCTGGCCTCCATCTTTCTCCCATGCTTGATGCTTTCTGCCCTCGAACATCAGACTCCAAGTTCTTCAGTTTTGAGACTCTTGGACCTCCGACCATAGAATGAAGGCTGCACTGTCGGCTTCCATGCTTTTGAGTTTTGGAACTTGGCCTGGCGTCCTTGCTCCTCACCTTGCAGATGGCCTATTGTGAGTCTTCACATTGTTATCATGTGAGCTAATACTCCTTAATAAACTCCCCTTTATCTATCTATTCTATTAGTTATGTTCCTCTAGAGAACCCTGACTAATACAGTAGGTCTATGTCTGCCTTTTATCTTAACATAATAAATTTACTTATATAATCATCTGTTGAAAGGACCATGTGAATCACAAATTGATTTCTTTAATCAGACTTATATCTACTAATAATTTAGGATTGTTCTTTCAACCCATTGCTAACCACAGCATCACGCACAATGATGTTAAGAGTAAATGCTTTGATATTTGTCCCACTAAGAAAAAAGATCTACTTATTTATATTTGCTTTTGTTATTGGACAATAAGATAAATAACCAATTCACTTTTTAAATCATTAATTTGAAACTTTATTAAATAAATACAGTATATATATATGCAGGTTTTTAAATTTAAAACATTTTCTTTTGAGACAGGGTCTCACTCTGTTGCCCAGGCTGGTGTGCAGCGGTGCGAACACGGCTCACTGCAGCCTCAACCTCTGAGGCTCAAGGGATCCTCCCACCTCAGCCTCCTGAATAGCTGGAACTATAGGCGTGCACTACCATGTCCAGCTACTTTTTTATTTTTTGTAGAGATGGGGGTCTCACTATGTTGCCCAGGCTTGTCCAAACTCCTTGGCTCAAGTGATTCTTCTGCCTTGGCCTTTGAAAGTGCTGAGATTATAGGTGTGAGCCACTTCACCTGGCCAGGATATAGAATTTACATGATATCAAGAGGAATAGGACCTCAGCAGTGTTGCTCACATCTGTCTTCTCCTCCTGATACCCTCATGACCTTTATACTCCAGTTGTTGCTGTGGCAACCAGCTATATGCCGGCATAACCTGGTAACACTTTGCCTCAGCTGATCTCATATTTCTGCCCCAGGACTTCTCTGCTGCTGTTCTGTAGGATGTCCACTGAAATCTATCACACCCTTTTAAGCTATGCATAAAAATGGAAGGGTGAGAAAATGACCACTTCATGGTCTAGCCCTTGACCCATGGTGCAGGAGTCTGTATGTGAATACTTTCTTCTTCAGTCCTTCATGCAGACATTATGAAGTGCATCCAATAAGAGCAGCAGGACCCAGCTCCAGTTGCCCGCAGGGGTGCTCAGGTCAAACATGCACATTAAAAAATAGTTTTGTGGGTACATCATAGTGTACATATTTATGAGGCACATGAGATATTTTGATACAGGCATACAATACATAATAATCATATCAGGGTAAATGGGGTATCCATCACCTCAAGCATTTGTCCTTTGTTACAAACAATCCATTTGTACTCTTTTAGTTATTTAAAAATGTACAATTATTTTTTACTATAGTCACCCTGTTATGCTAGCAAATACTAGGTCTTATTCATTCTGTTTCTGTACCCATTAACTATCCCCACTACTCTTCCCAGCCTGTGATAGCCATTCTCTTACTCTCTATCTCCATTAGTTCCATTATTTTAATTTTTAGCTCCCACCAATAAGTGAGAACATATGAAATTTGTCTTTTTGTGCCTGACCTATTTCGTTTGTCATAATGACCTCCAGTTCCATCCATGTTGTTACAAATGACAGGATCTCATTCTTTTTTATGGCTGCATAGTACTCCATTGTGTATATGTACCACATTTCAAAAATGTACAGTGTGATGCACTTTTCCTTCTCTGTTTACTCTTTCCAGTCCCCTATTCCTGTGTTTTAGGATCACCTCCCAGAATAAACTACCTATATACAAATTGTTGTCTTTGGGGCAACCTGAGCCAAGATATCAGAAAAAAAGACAAAAGCAGGAAGGCTCAAGTACCACCGTACTCCCTAACATGGAGAGCCTTGGTAGCTCACTTGTCTCTCCCTCATTGCCTTTGAAATGCTGTTCTCTTTTTATTTTGTTATGCAAAATACATTAGATGCAAAACAATGTGCAGCATAACACTTCCTCAGTTTCTATGGTAATGATCTCATGTAGGTATTTACAAGTGAGCATATAAATATGTAATAAAAATTAGGCTCCAGTATCAATGACTTGTGTCCTATTTGTATATATACTTTTGCCAAATTCTAACATCAAGTAGACAAGTCAGTCAATAAAAATGGTGATACCAACTAGGCAAACTTATAAGGAATTCACTTTCCATGCCTATAGAATTGAAATACTAAAATCATGACATAAATTAGAAACATCGACGTTATGAAAAAAGATGAAAATATAGGAGGCAAATAATATACTATCCCAGGGATGTTTTTGCAAAGGAGGACACATAATGTCTGTGTTCTTCATTTTAGCAGTTTAATTGAATTTGTGTATAAGACGATTATGTGCTTGCATTTCTTCTTAATTTCTTCTTTATTTTTCCTTTGTCCTTTCCTAATGAGATTTGACTTCCTCTTTAAACATACTTTTGTAATCTTTGTTCCTTTGGCCTAGTAAAAACCACCTTTTTACTAGAATGTATAAGGAACACTAGCACCTTTCATATTAAACACATTCAATACAAATGACAAATTTCCTTTTGAAATTCTGGAAAACTTGGCTGATTTACTGATCTTTGTGGTGTCCTTGAGTACCCTGTATCTTTTAGTGTATAATTTTTAGTGAAGAAGGATTTATTATGAATATACAAAAGCAATTTGGAGAGCCTAAGGATGAAAGTACCATTTGGTCACACAAAAAATGAGATAAACAAAATGAAACATTGTATGAAGCCAAAGCAGCAAATCTTACTCTTCCATATAAATCTTTTTGTCTCTCTCTATAGCTACAAGTCTCTCCTCTTCATTTTTCCTCTGTATCTTTGGTTCATTCTTTCTTTTCTCTTCATAGGATTTTCTTTTTTGCTTATGTGTGCAGAAAGAGAAGTGGCAGCAACAGACATATGTGGTCTCCCACCAAAATGCTCAGGAGGCACATACTAGATTCATACTCCGTATCTCACATATGCTAACATGCACTATTGCTTAATGTATTACCAAGGAAAAAATGCTGTCTGTTAAATGTAATGACAAGCTATTGTAAGATGCATTATGATTTTGGAAATAAAATATGTGAAAAGTGTATTTAGCATCAACAGAATACAGTACTAGAGTGTCTGGTGTCCAGACTGTAAATTCCTGGAGAGAACCTGATTGGTTCAGCCAACTGACTGTGGCCTTCAAGCTCAAGTGTGTATTCCAGGCCCAGTTAGCCATGGCAAGAGGGACTGCAATTGGTTAAGGGAAAAGTTCCCAGGCAAAGAGCAGGTGGTGGGTGGGAGCCAGGAATTACTCCATATTGTTCTTTAACATTTTCTAGAATTTTACTTTCAGTATTTTGCTAACACAAAATGTTGATGTGTTTGCTTTTAAGTTTTCTGTTGCATTGCTGCAAAATATTGGTTAAAAAATTCATGCAGGCAAAAATCCAATGTATACTAAATTGTTGTTAATTCAGAAAGTAAAAAATGTATCCTTTGAATATTGAAAGTTCCATTATACGGTCCAGCTACAAACTAAAAATAATTTTCTTTTGTGTTGTTGGTGACCATATAACCATATAGGTCAGGCAAAGAACTATGGAAGTTGAGGTTTTGGGTTTAATCTCAAATTAAAAATTAATATTTAACCCTTTATTATGAGATTATTTCAGACTTTCAGAAGAATTCCAGAAATAGTAAAGAGAATTCTCAGATGCCCTTAACTCAGCTTACAATCATGGGAATATCTTACATAACCATAGAACAGTGATCAAAACTAAGAAATTTGGGTGGGCGTGGTGGCTCATGCCTGTAATCCCAGCACTTTGGGAGGCCGAGGCAGGTGGATCACCTGAGGTCAGGAGTTTGAGGCCAGGCTGGCCAACATGGTGAAACCTGTCTCTACTAAAATACAGAAATTAGTCAAGCGTGGTGGCGGGCGTCTGTTGTCCCAGCTACTTGGGAGGCTGAGGCAGGAGAATTGCTTAAACCCGGAAGGTGGAGGTTGCAGTGAGCAGAGATTGTGCCACTGCACTCCAGCATGGGTGACAGAGCAAGACTCCATCTCAAAAACAAAAAAAACAAAACAAAACCCTAAGAAATTTGACCTAGATACAATACCATTGTCTATCCATCCTTGGCATGATGTGGCAATGGAAATAAGCACAATATCACCATTGGATACTCCTAATTTAAACACCTGAAAAGGGCAAAGATCTGGGTGATGAGGCACAGGATGTCTTTGAACATTTTTGTCAAACTAAGTGTAATGAGACTGGCTGGTTGCTCCTAATGTTGCTGGTAAAAGTGGGAGAAGAAAAGGATGAACTCAGGGATACAAGTTCCTAACTCAAGCATAGAATGAATGAACCAAAAGCTTCTATGTCTGCCCAGAATGCAACACTTAACTTCTACAGCTGTGGGGCTGAGATTGCTGAAAACCAAACCAGCATCTCATCCTGTAAGTGACTGTATTACAAAGCAAATTGAATTCTCAGTCTCACAGGGTGTCTACTGTTAAGGTGAGGGCATTGATTAGAAAGGAATGGGATTCAGGAAGTTGGAGAATGTGTGTGTGTGAAAACCATGGAAAAGCTGGGGACATTGAACCCCTAAATTTGAATGCATCTTCCTTGCCTATAGAAGCAGTCTCGCCACCACCGTTGAGGAGATTAACCGTGCATTGCCTAAAGAAACTGCAACAGCCTCCCTTGAGGCAGTTGCCAAGCAAGACAGTGCTCATTCTCCTTAGGACTCATGCTAAATACCCATCTTTGCTTCTCCTCCTATAACTAGACTGAAGTTTTAGAGGTCCCCAAAGGTGAATTACAAAGTGTGAGTCATGCAGAAGTATGCTACTGTCCAGAAAAACGTATTGATTTTTTAATTTATACAAACAGAAACCCGTGGATATGTGTGGAAATGAATATTAAGGGTGTGGAATAATGGTGGAAGGAACCAATAAAGTTGGATCAGGCTGAATTGATTGACGTGAGTTCACTAATCAGACATTCTGCATTTAAGTCACAGTTCAGGGAGTTAGAAAGAATTCTCACAGATAGGTTGGTTGGTTGGTTGGTTGGTTGAAACATGGAGCAAAAGGAGGCCCATATTGATTGAACCTGAAATGCCATATCTTCCTTGGTTTACCATAGAGGAAGCCATTCAAAGGGTTAGGGAGTTTGGAACGTCAGAGTGAATTTGTCATCTAAGACCTACTTACCTGCCCTGGGAGCTTTCCCTACAACTATGGGAAATGAATTTGTTAGAGGAGCCCCAATATTCTTGAAGAGCTCTGTGATCCCTGTTCCCTGTAGGCCAGAACTTACAGTGAGAGCTACAGCCACTGAACTAGGAAAACTAAATGCAATGGGAATAATTGCATCCTGGGGTGGTAGGGGCTAAGTGGTGGCACTCACAACCTAAGGCAGGTAGATACAGTTACTGTAATGAACAGCAGAGGCAAAGCAGTGATTCATTAGTCTGACTCATGCTGATTATGGGATTGGCTAGTTAAATGTTATGTTCCCAGAGGTGAAATAGATAGGAAGGCTATTAAATTCATTCTTGATCTATATAAGCAAGAAAGCTCTAGGTCAAGAGAAAAAAAGTCTAACCTGAGTCACAAAAACATAGAGTCATGGCCCGTATGTCAATTATTAGATTTGAACCAGTTTATAGACACGGAGCCCCTTGAATGAAGGGGCAGTTAAATCCCTTTGAGGAAGAACCCTAGTCCACTGCTAAAAATTTATACTGTTAACCTTTCTTCTAGCTTTCCCCCAAAGGACTACAGCTTTTTACTATGGTAGCTATGCACAAGGGAAAAAGAACTAATCAGACTTTAGGGGACTACTGGACACTAACTGAAGTGGTACTGATTTCAAGAGACTCAAACCATTGTTGTGGTCTGTAAGCCAATAGGGACTTCTGAAGGTCATCAGTGGAGTTTTAGCTCAGGTCTGTGGGCCTAGTGGATTCCCGAAGCCATCTTGGTTGTTACCCCAGTTCCGGAATTCATAATTGGAATAGACATACTCAGCAACTGGTAGAATTCCCACATTGATTCTCTGACGTGTGGAATCAGGGCTATCATGATGGGAAAAGATAAGTGTAAGCAACTAGAATTGCCTTTATCTACAAAAGTAGTAAACTAAAATGTGTATCATGTTCCTAGAGAGCTTCAAGAGATGAGTGCCACCAGCAAAGACTTGAAAGAGACAGGGGTGGTGATTCCCACCACAATCCTGTTCAGTTCACTTACTTTGCCTGTGCAGAAGACAGATGGATCTTGGAGAATGGCAGTGGATTATTATAACTTAACCAGGTGGTGACCCTAATTGCAGCTGCTGTATTAGATAATGTGATTTCATTATTTGAGCAAATTAACACCTGGCACCTGATATGTAGCTATTGATCTGAAATGTGCCTTTTCCTCCATACCTGCCCATAAGGTCCATAAGAAAGATTTTACTTTCAGCTGTCAATGCTACCAGTACATCTTCACTGTTCTACCTCAGTGGTATATCAACTCTTCAGCCTTGTGTCATAATTTAGAGTGCAGGGATCTTGTTAGACTTGCCATTCCACCAAATATTACACTGGTCCATTACATTGATGACATTTTGCTGATTAGACCTAGAGAGCAAGAAGTAGAAATCACACTAGACTTATTGGTAAGACATTTGCATGTAAGAGGGTGGGATATAAATCGGTCTAAAATTTGGGAGTCTTCTAGTTCAGTGAAATTTCTAGAGGTCCAGTGGTATAGGACATGTTGAGATATTCCTTTTAAAGTGAAGGATATATTGTTTGCCTCTGGCTCTTCCTACAACAAAAAAAGAGGCTCAATGCCTAGTGGGCCTCTTTAAGTTTTAGAGGCCACATCTTCCTCATTTGGATGTGTTACTCCAGCCATATACATACAGTTTTGAGTCGGGCTCATAAAAAGAGAAGGTTCTGCAACAGGTCCAGGCTGCTCTGCCAACTGCTCTGCCAGTTGGGCCACATGATCCAGTAGATCCAATGGAGTCTGAGGTATCAGTCATAGGTAGGAATGCTGTTTGATGACTTTGGCTGACCCTTATGGGAGAATCAAAGATGACAACTACTCTCCTTTTTAAATTTTAATTTAATTTTATAATGAGACAAGGTCTTGCTCTGTGGCCCAGGCAGGAGTGCAGTGGTGCAATCACAGCTCACTGCAACCTTGACCTACTGAGCTCAAGCAATCCTCCCACCTCAGCTGCCTGAGTAGCTGGGACTACAGATACACACCACTGTGCCTAGCTAATATTTTTTGGCTTTTTTTTTTTTTTTTTTTTTCTTAGTGTTACCCAGGCTTGTCTTGAACTCCTGAGTTCAAGCAATCTTCCCACCTTGGCTTCCCAGAGTGCTGAGATTACATGCGTAAGCCATTGCCCTGGCCTTTACTCTCTTTTTCATAAACAATTCTTAACTTGCTTCTGGGCCTTAATAGAGTTATGGGCCATCAAGTTACCTTGGAAGCTGAGCTGTCCATTATGTACTGGGTTTTAGCTGATCTAGAAAAATAGTACACCAAAATTCATACTAAGCCCTGAAGTTGGGCATGTATAACATGTACATAGCAGCACTCCATCATCAAATGGAGGTGATGTACATGTGATCAGGGCCAAGTAGGCCCTGAAGGCACAGTAAGTTACATGAAGAAGTGGCCCAAATGCCCATGGTCCCCACTCCTGCTCCACTTTCTTTTCTCTTTCAGCATGAACCTATAGCCTCATGGAGAGTTCCATATGATCAAATAACAGAGGAAGGATAAATTCAATCTGGTTTACAGATAGTTTTGCATAATATGCATGTAATATCCAAAACTGGACAACTGTCGCAATACAGCCTTTTCCTGGGACACCTCTGAAGGACAGTGGTGAAGGGAAATCTTCCCCCTGGGCAGAACTTCCAGCAGTGCACCTGGTTGTTCATTTTGCTTGGAAGGAGAATTGGCTGGATGAGCAATTATAGACTGACTTATAAGCCATGGCCAATTGTTTGGCTGCATAGTCGTGGGCTTGGAAGGAACAGGATTGGAAAATTGGTGATAAAGAAATCTGGGAGAGAGATACATAGACAGACCTCTCTGAATGGGCAAAAAACATGAAGATATTTGTATACTATGTGAATGCTCACTAAAGGGTGACCTTTAGTGCCACCTGGACCCCTTGGGATCCTTATATCTCTAAGTCAACAGGCTAAGCAGGGTGTTATGGTGTTGGCTGGCACAACTGATCCCGACTGTCAAAGGGAAATTGGACTGCTTTGCTAAAATGGTAGCAAGAAAGAGTATATCTGGAATAGAGGAAGTCACTTAGGGTGTGTCTTAGTGTTATGCCCTGTGATTATAGTCAATAGAAAATGACAACAACCCAATCCAGGCAGGACTACTAATGGCCCAGACTCTTCAGGAAAGGAAGCTTGGATCACTGTACCTCGTAAAGAATCATGACCACCTGAGGTACTTGCTGAGGGCAAAAGGAATACAGAATGGGTAACGGAAGAAGGTAGCTATACATATTAATATCGGCTATGACCACATGATCAGTTACAGAAGTGAAGACTGTAATTGTTATGAGTATTTTTTCCTTATTTTGTTGTGAATGCATTTGTGCATTTTTGTTTTATTTCCCTCCGTTATCCTGTTATTATGTAGTGTAGGAGATATTGACTTATAGTACTTAAGTACTCTTTAATTTTACAACATAGTATTTAAGTTATAGAATATAAGGGAGAAGAGTTAACATCACTCAAGAACTTTGTATCCTCTTCTGGGGAAAGAATATGTTTTTTGTTGTACGCAGAATACTTTATCATGTATGAGTTTATTATTGTTGTTATTTGGAGATTAATATGGTTTAAGAAGATGTGTATGGGTGCGAAGTTTATTATTTTATTATTGTTATTTGGAGATTAATATGGTTTATTATTGTTGTTATTTGGCGATTAATATGGCTTAAGAAGATGTGTATGGGTGCGAAGTTGACAAGATTTGCACTTGTGATAGTTAATTTTATGTATTAACTTGGTTGGGCCACAGGGTGCCTACATATGTGGTCAAACATTATGCTGGATGTTTCAGTGAAAAATGTTTTTGGATGAGATTGATGGTTAAACTGGTAGACTTTGGGTAAAGCAGATTACTCTGCATAACGTGGCGTACCTCATTCAATCAGTTGAAGCTCTCAGTGGAACAAAAGATTGACCTCCTCCAAGAGGAAATGAATTCTGCAAGCAGATGATGGCCTTTGGACTTGAATTACAACATCAGATCCTCCCTGGGTTCATGCCTAATGGCTTTCAGATTTGAACTGGAACATTGACTTTCCTGGGTATCCAGCTTGCAAGCCTTCAGACTGGAAGTGAAACATTGGTTCTTTCATGGATCTGTAGCCTACTAGCTCACTTTGCAGATTTTGGACTTGCCAGAACAATTGGTTCTGTTTATCTGGAGACCTCTGACTAATACAGCTTTCAACCCAGCAAACGTCTCCACAAAGGTAGAAGAGGAGGAAGACCGTTTTATTATTGAATAAACATTAAATCACAATGTGATGCACACCACAGGCAATCTGCTAAAGAGATTGGAAAGACAGAAAGAGATCTCACTCTTCCATATAGCTACACAAATACAACCCCTCACATACATGTTTTCAAGATAAGCAATGACTACTCTTCAAGTAAAAGGACTTGACAGCATCATTTGTCATAGCTTGTGGTAAATTCATCTGGTCATTGCAGTCACCCTCTCCAATTATCCTTTGGATAATTGGTGTTATTCAAAGGAAAAACTAAACTTCTCATACCTTTATGACAGCACGTAGTTAGTCTTGGAGTAAGGTGCCCACCTAAGTGAGGCTCCACGCCTCTGACAGAAACTGGGAGATAGGGTACTGTCTTGCATTATAATTACATTTCAAAGAGATGGCTCCCAGGTCCTTGAGATTCCTAGTTTGTAAAGTTGCCAAAAGGCTTATTTAGATTTTAAAAAGATTGACACACATCTCAAAGGGACATAGAAGGAATTTATCGTAACAAGTTTTCTAAAGAAAATGCTCTGAAAGCAAAAGGGGAAAAGGGTGTCTCTCTTTTTGGGGCAGGGAAAGTTAACCTTTTTCTTTTTTTGATTTGTATTTACCCTTACATTATTCATCATTAGCTTTGGAAGTTCATCTTTGCTATTGGTATGGGCAGTAATTCATTAATCTTCACAAGTAGTAATTCACTGTATAACTACAAGAATTTATTTATGTATTCTCTTGTCAATGAACATTTGGTTGCTGCTGCTGCTGCTCCTCCTCCCCTCCTCCTCCTCCTCTTCCTCCTCCTCCTCCTCCTCTTCTTCTTCTTCTTTTTTTTTTACATGCAGTCTCGCTCTGTCGTCCAGGCATGGGAATCGCGGGAGGCGGAGATTGCAGTGAGCTGAGATTGCGAGAATCCGGGAGGCGGAGATTGCGGCGAGCTGAGATTGCGCCACTGCACTCCAGCCTGGAGGACAGCGGGAGACTCTGGGTAAAAAAGCTGCCCTTTCCCTTTCCCTCCCCTTTTGACAGAGTCTCCCTGTGTCATCCAGGCTGGAGTGCAGTGGCGCGATCTGGGTTCAGGTTCACTGCAACCTCCGCCTCTCAGGTTCAAGTGATTCTCCTGCCTCAGTCTCCCTAGTAGCTGGGATTACAGGCACGTGCCACCAGACTAATTTTTGTATTTTTTTACAAAAAAAAAGGCGGGGTTTTTTTACAAAAAGGAGACGGGATTTCACCACATTGGCCAAACTGGTTTCTAACTCCTGACCTCAAGTTATCCGCCCTCCTCGGCCTCCCAAAGTGCCGGGATTACAGGCATGAGCTATCGCACTGGGCCATATTTCTAATTTTTACGTGTTTTTCAGTTAGTCATTTGTCTTTTCCTTCTTGATTTATGAGAATTGTTTATGCTTATGCTCTACCGATTGCAATAGTATCTTCTAGGCTGATATTTGATTTTACATTTTCTTTTAAAATATCTGTTGATAAAAAGAAACCTTCACAATTTTAATGAGTCAAGTTTATTTATTTTTCAGTCATGTTTTATGCTTTGTATCCTGTTTAAGAAAGTCTTCCTTACCACAGGGTCCCCAGAATACTAACCTATATGTTTTTTAAAATGGAAAAATCTCCTGTCACATTTACATCTTTAATCTAGAATTGATTTTTTTGTATGATGTGAGATAGAGTTCCCATTTCTTTTTATTTTAATGTGTTTAATCAATTATTCCAGCCTCACTGTTTTATAAATTCACTTTTCCAACATGATTATTTAAGCTCCAATTCATCTTTACTGATTTGCAATGCCTATTTTATCATATATTATGTTTTCTTGTATATGGGGGGGGTCTCTTTTTGAGGCAATTACAGAGGGTCCCAAGTGGTGAGGCTCATGCTCACTGATGTGACAAGGATAAATGGAATATACTGTACTTTTATTTTTGGCTTCCATTTCATTTAATCGTGCTATTGATTCTTTTGTTTCTTTATCTTTCTTTCATTCTTTTGTCTTTTTATGACTTTTTAAAGGATGTTTTCCTTGTCTTTGGCTTTCTGAATTTTTACTATGCTGTGGCTATGCTGTGATTTTTCTGTTTCTTTTTCTTTATTAAATGAAACCTTGCTTGAGTATTTCTAAGCTTATAATTTCTAGAAAATTCTTAGACATTATTCTTTAGATATTGCCTATGCCCTAACCTCTTTGTTCTTTCTGACTGTGATTAGATATATGTTAAAACTTCTCATCCTATTCTCCAGACCTCTTAAATTATCTTGTTTTTTGGGCTGCATTTGGCTAATTTCTTCAGGTATACTTAATTAATTTTTCCTTTGGTTTTGTTTCATGTGCTGGTTAACTCATCCCCTGAGTGTTGAACTTCAATGATTTTTTTTTTTAATCTTTAGAAGTTTTACTTGGTTCTTTGTCAAAACTGCTTGGTAATTTTTAATATTCTCCTGACCCTTGGCTATGGTTTTATTCTTTAAACATTTTAATCCTTGATTATTTTCTATTCTGTGTATTCTAGTATTAATATAAACTTCCATGTATTAGTACTAGAATATTATAATATAAAATGGTATTAATATTAATAATATAAAAATATCCTTACTTTATATTTTATAATTACCTTACAATAATTATTTTAAATAATTAAATGTTATAATAACATATTATCATAATATAATTATGATAATAAAAATTATTACCATAATGCAATTATACAGTTACATTATGATTATTATAAAATAACATATTAATAAATTATAACTGTATAATGATAATTATATAATGAATATATTATCATTATGATAATATAATATTAATATGATAACATTAATTTTAATTAGATTGATATATTACATATTTATATTAATATCAATATATTAATGTATTATTAATAGTATATAACATTATGCTATATTAATGTATTAAATTGTGTTAAATATCTATTATAAAATGATATTAAATTATTATTAACATAAAATTCTGTGTATTGGGGCTCTGAATCTCTTTGTTATTTTTACTGACTCTCAAGATATCTTGTTTTCTTATGTAATTGATAATTATTTTGGTCTAATATTTCACTTTAGAAAATCACACTGGGGCTCAGTGGAAGATGCTTTCTTCCCAAGAGGATTTGTGTTGTCATACTCGGTCTACTTTAATTAATATTTTGGCTTCTGCTTCCCCAAATCATACACATGATATGAAACCAAGCCCCAGCCACATGTGGTGGCATTCTATGGTTAGAATTTTTTATGAGACTATTTTTATTCTTCTAATATATTTCTCTCCTTTAACTGAAGCTGGGACAGACAAGTTTTCTTCTTAGCTCTCTTAACTCTGCTGCAGGCCTGAGTTGCCCAGGTCATTCTTCCACCTCGTTAGAGGTTTATTTTTATTTTTATTTTTATTTTTTTTATTATACTTTAAGTTTTAGGGTACATGTGCACAATATGCAGGTTTGTTACATATGTATACATGTGCCATGTTGGTGTGCTGCACCCATTAACTTGTCCTTTAGCATTAGGTATATCTCCTAATGCTATCCCTCCCCCCTTCCCCCACCCCACAACAGTCCCCGGAGTCTCATGTTCCCCTTCCTGTGTCCGTGTGTTCTCATTGTTCAGTTCCCACCTATGAGTGAGAACATGCGGTGTTTGGTTTTTTGTCCTTGCGATAGTTTGCTGAGAATGATGATTTCCAGTTTCATCCATGTTCCTACAAGGGACATGAACTCTTCATTTTTTATGGCTGCATAGTATTCCATGGTGTATATGTGCCACATTTTCTTAATCCGGTCTATTGTTGTTGGACATTTGGGTTGGTTCCAAGTCTTTGCTATTGTGAATAGTGCCGCTATAAACATACGTGTGCATGTGTCTTTATAGAGTTGTTTGTTTTGATGGGGGGCTTATGTCCAGCAGTCGTTACTCTGGCAAAAACCCACAGTCTAATCCTCAGTTATCCAGCTGCCATGATCTCAGTCCCCAAAGCTTGAGGCTCCTCTTATTGGCATTTGCCTCCAGGACCTTTCCAACTTCATATTCTCTTTCTCACTGTGTTTGTGGCTTATTATTATTATCATCATTTTTTTTGCCTTTGGGAATTTTTCTGGACTTTGTTTTTAGCTTAACAATGCATTTAAAAGTATGTGGGTTTTAAAAAAATGTATCTTTTTTTGTGTGTCATGGGTTGGGGTAGAGGGATTAGAATGTTAGTCCCCAAATGGCCAGAAACAAAATTCTCACCATATTTTCAGAGATACAAGGAACCAACATTTCAATTACTCTGAACTTTCAGGGAAAAAGAAAATAAGTGATTATCTTGTGATGTGTGAAAGCATGTTGCAAATGACTCCAAATTTTGGCAGGTGCAGGGGATGATTTGTGAGGTATCACAAAGGGGTGACATTTTACTTTAACCAAGCTTCTGCAATGCCTGCAGTACAAAAGAGACTAATTTATTAATTCCATTCTCTATCTTACTGTAAAGCTGTTGCTCTAAATTACTTTGAAAAGGCTGTAGATTATATTCCAATTCTTGTAGGTAGCCCTAGATATACAGAAAGTCACAATCATGGAATTCCTAATAAAATTTTCTCAGCTGAGTTTCTGTTCTAAGATCCTTCTTTCTGACAGTATCTACAGTGCTGATTTTATCTTATAACTGATGTAACTTCGGCATCAGCCTCACATGTAGAAAGTACTAATTTCATTTTCATAATGAACCAAGTAATACCACTTCGATAATGGATTGAAGTGTTTTATATAAATCATATTAAAGATGTAAAACTTGGGAAATTGAAGATTTTGAGTTAACACAGGAAAATCTAAATGTCCTTCTGGCTTATTTTTTCTTTCCCAGTTCATTCTGCAGACAACTATGAGACTCTTTTCTGAAAGCAAAAATCTCAGTATACAGGCCTTTCTCTACTTAAGAAACTTTAAAAATTCTGCTTTTTCTAATTCCTTCTTAGACTTTTCTATTTGGATGCTCAGTTTACAGTCAAATGCTATCTGCTTGATTACAAGACTTTTATTCCATTAAACCAAGATTTATTGATGCCTTCCTTTATATTGTATTCTGTGCAAGGCAAGGTGAGTCAAAGATGAACTACTCATCGTCCTACCTTCCAGGGGACATTTAGTCCAACATGGGCAGTCGGAGTGGGGGCAGAGAGGAACCAAAAGCATGTTGTAAAAAGTCACATGCTGTTTTAAGGTCTATAGTGGAAGTTTCAGTAAGTAATTATTTTCTTAATTTTCATGGCATTTTATCTTTATGTCTTATGTGGCATCATCACTTTCTTCTTTTAGTATCTTTACCTCTTCTATGATATTAAAGTTTTTGAGAAGCAACATATAGATAGTATGCTTTGTGATATATATATATTTTTAATCCTTCAACACATTTAGTGGAGTGCCTTACATGGAAAAATAACAATAACAGAATAACAGTAATGCCAATAATTAAATAAATCACTTAAAAATGGTTAACTTTGGCCAATATGGTGAAACCTGTCTACTAAAAATACAAAAATTAGCTGGGCATGGTGGTGTACACCTATAATCCCAGCTACTTGGGAGGCTGAGGCAGGAGAATCACTTGAACCCAGGAGGGGGAGGTTGCAGTGAGCCTAGATCATGCCACCACTGCACTCAGGCCTAGACAACAGAACAAGACTCCATCTCAAAAAAAAAAAAAAAAAAAAAAAGACCACTGGTTAACTATGTACTAGTCTGTGTTCTAGAGTTTTATGTATATTAATTCTAATTCACACCATAGCTGGTGAAATGCGAACAATTGTTGTCCTCATTCAACTTATGAGGGATCTGAAGCACAAGTAAATTCAATAACTTGCCCCAGTTCACGTAGCTAGTATGTAGAATCCAGAGCTGGGATACAATAGATACTTAGAAAATATAGATTGAAGACATAGTAAATTATTATTAGATACCTTTTTAAAAAACTAAAAACCTTAAACACAAAAGCCTTGGAAATTCTAATACTAATTTGGATTTTGGATTGCATCATTGGCAAGGACAGTAAAACTATATCTGCGTTAAAGGACTTTATTCATGTCTGATAGGAAGCCTGTTCGTGTCTTTACCCGAAGACATGAAAGATTGACACGTTTTACCTCTAGGAGTTCTTTGATTTTGTTGTTCTGTTTCTCAAGTTGGACAGTCCTCAAAGGACAGAAACTTCATTGGCATGCTAGACATTTCTTGTGTATTACATGGAAACTTCCCAATGTTCTGAATATAAATAAGCTTTACCTGCAATGCATAACAACTGACTTGCTCACTCACATATTAATGGAGCACACTGAACTGAAAGTCATTTGGAAACCTGGACCATTTTTGACTTCGTGGTCCTTTACCTTCGGGCCCTAAAATATTCGTAGCTTGTTGGAGTTAGAAAGGGCTTTAGGAATCACACAGTCTAACTGTCTCCTTTTACAGGCCGGGAAGCTATGGTTAAGAGAAGCTCTGACTCACCCTCAGCCACACTATAAATTAACAGAGAACGGCAATGAGAACAGTCCTGGTGAGAGATAAGACTGACATGCACAGAATAATCATGGACATGATCAAGGATAACATGAGTTATTACTATGAAAACAAAACTGTGTAAACCATTCCCTGTATTCGAGTAATTTATACTTAGAGAACAATACGGGGGCAGAAGTAGTTACACTACAAAGTGGTCTGATAGGGTCTACACACATGATAGATGCTAGATTATATGGGATTGTGGAGGAATGATGGGTGCATTTTGGCTGTTGTATTCGTTTTTTCATTTGAAATATTTTTATCTAGCATATGTTCCAGGGGAATGCAGCAGAATTTAGATTGACCAGGGATCTTGTGTTCTGGGGAAGAAGTGATTAAAAAATTGAGACTAATGCAAAATTGCAAAAAGTATGGTTTTGTTAATTAGGAAATAGGCATCTATTATGAGAATAATATAATTTAAACCTTGGCTTGGGATGATTTCTTTGTGGTCACACAACGGATGAGAGAGATGGAGTTCATTAGCAGGAACAGTAGTGCTGAAACTCTTTCAATAGTCTGTGTATGAGATGCTGCTAGAAGAGTGGGAACAGAAGGAATTGGAGAGAAGCAATGGTTTTTGTTGTTGTTTCAAGAATTTCAGAGAATGAAGAAATTGTTCTACTGCATGGGATAAACATGACTTCATATATTTCAATGCACCATTGTAGCAGCAAACAGTTTTTACTATCAGCCATTAAGAGTTTACCATGTGTAATTACAAATGATAGGAAGCAATTATAAGCAAAGAGATTCCAAATAATATAAGAGAGTCTTCCAGGCAACCTTTGGCCCAGAAGGTACTATGTCCCTGCCTAAAGCTGGGAAGATCTGAAACCTCACACAGAAGAAAGCTTATGGCAGGAGGCATTGTTCAGAAGGTAGAGGTCAGTTTCAAAGCACATCTTTGTTTCTGTCCTTTATTCTCTATGCATTTTAAAATGGCTGAGTTCAGGCTGCAGATAAAATTTTGAATCTGATTCTTCTCAGGCATTATTAGAATTTTTTGGTGGCATAAAAAGTCTTGGTAAGCGTAATTGTTAAGCATATTCATGTCTTTGTACATAAACCTTTGCTGATATTTCAAATTATCCCCCTAGGAAATGTTACTAGAAGAGAAATGAATGGACCATTTCCAGTTACTTTTGTTCCTAATAGTTTTTGCATTATTCTTGAGAATGTAGGAAATTGAAGAGGTGGAGAGTCTTTCATTATTCCTTTCAAATGCAAACATGAAAAGTTGAACCTGAATTATCAAAGCATGTCAATGGCTGGCTCAGAATGAAATAATAGTGATTACTTGAATGGCTGATGACTTGGTTCTAGTGATACAGACAGGAGGCAGGGAAATACTGGGTAGAAGAGGGCGGGGTCCCTGGTGAAGCCCTACCCTCAAACCTGGAACTGTGGCTCAAAGTGAGAACATGCATTCCTGTTTCCTGCTTGAATGTTGCCTTTTCTAAACCCACCCATGGCCTGCCCTGCCCTGCATCCTGTACCCGTAAAAACCTCGGGTTACTCTGACAGCAGAGTGGCAGAGAGGAGAGAAGAGAGGAAGGAGCTTGACGTTGGTGAGAAGCAGCTTGACTTCAGAGGTGGGGCTTGATGGCGGTATCTTGGAGAAAAGTTTGGCTGGGGACAGCTGAACTCCAGGGGAAGATCACCTTCCTGCTCCATCCCCTTCCCAGCTCTCCATCCCACTGAAAACCACTTTCATCAGCAATAAAATTCCCTGCATTTACCATCTTCAATTTGTTCATACAACCTGATTATTCCCAGATGCCAAACAAGAGCTTGGGATACAGACGGCTGTCACATTGAGCTGTTAAACACTGAAGCCCCCCCCCGTGGACAGCAAAGCTGAAAGAGTGCACTGTAACACACACCCTCTGGGGCTCCAGGGGGTCACAGGTACCCCCCTAGATGCTGCCATGGGGCCTCAGGGAGTTCTGCTCCTGCCAGCGCCCAGAAGCACTTGTCCTGGCCCCTGTACCTGCTCACCTGCGTGCTCCTCCTCCTGTGAGGGGTTGAGAGTTGCAGGCTGAGTAAACGAGCCACCCCTTTTGCCAGCCCCGTGAAGGGGTCCGGGAAAATTTCCTGTTTTACTACGGCTTTTATATATTGTCTTCTTTAGGCTTTGAAAGAATTCTGAGTCAGGTATTATTATTCCCACTTTGCAAGTGTAGAAACTGAGGCTGTGAGGGTTAGCCAATGCCTGCAAACTGCTATGTTTGACTCCAGAGCCTATGCTCTCAATCCGATGAGACAAATAAATAAAGCTAGATGATAACCTGAATGAGAACATCCAAGCCATTCCTGGTTTACCCTTAACCCCGCGAGGGAACTATTTCCTCACCTTAAAACATCCCTTTCATCCTCCCTTCTAGACTTACACACTCGGCTGAAGTTGTTTTCCTCACCATTAGATGTTAGCCGTTCTTCCTGATTCCACCTTTAACTGCACAGCCCTCGTAACTATAACTACAGTGTAGTTAGACCTTACTGTAGTACCTGTGTATTTAAGATACATTAACTTAGCCTGTAGTTCATTCTGTAGTGTAAATTCAGTTTTGCCATCAACGTAAAGTTAGATGTATAGAAGGCCTTGAAAGACTAAACATTTTTCGATGTGATGTTTGCAAGACTTTGGCCCCCCAGGTATTTCTCCCCACCCTTCTGGCTAAACCCCAATTGTCCATTCAACAGCTGCTGAGCCATGCATTCATATCTGGGGCTCTTCCCTGCTTCGTGCTTAGCATAACCTGTTTCCTAAAACTTGCTGAGAATTTGAACACTAAATAATTCTTAGAACAGAATTGATTGGGCTTTCTCCTTTCATAAAAGATTTTCTACAGATAATTTAAGGATGTACTTTGAACTGAATTGACCTGACTGACATTTGAAGTTGCTTGTTTTAGTTACTGTTTGGGACAACCAGGTAATTAGGGATTTTATAACTTCATGCCTCAATAATGATATAAAAAATATTGTAAAGTTATTTACTGAGCAATTATTCAGTATTAGGTTCTGAGCACTTTATAGACACCATGCCATTTACTTCTGAAAAGAAAGGTATAATGTACAATTACCAGCCCATTTAAAAAACAGTGAAACCAAGCTTAGTTTAAGTAACTTCCCAGATATTAGAAGGCAGAGCTTGGTTTTTAATCCAGATGTACTTGACTCCAAAGCCTGGGTTCCTAACCTCTACAAAGCCTATTCCCGCCTATCCATCCCTGAAAACAATCGGAAATTCAAACTGAGGCATAATTCAATTATGCTTGTTTTTTATATAACCAGGTTGCTTAATTGCATAGTAAAATTTACTGTTTGATCAACAAATTATAATTATACTTCAAATGGGTCTTTTATTGGCTTGCTTTACTCTCAAAGTACGTTTTTAAAAAATAAATGTGAATGAAACAAAAGGGAACGAAAGCAATTTACTGGGCCTAAAAGTCCATTAATTTGTGTTTCAATCACACCTTTGAAGATCACAGAGCAATGTTTAAATAAATATATCTCTTTTATGGTCTAAAAGTATCAAATTGTGTGTTTTATTTAAATTTTAAGAAAATTATCAGGATTGCTTGACAGTGCATTTGTCTAAATGACATTTTTTCCAGATAATTTCCATTGAAAAATCATTTCATTAATGCTTTTTATAAATGTCATCATTAAGGAATATATTGGCCATTTATTTGTACTTTTACTGAGATGGAGGCAAATGACCAGCAAAAGCTTAGCTAGTAAAGAACCCCAAACCTGTGAATTCTTGCTGTTTATCAAGTCTTTAAGATCTAAAGGGCAGCTAGCCGGGCACTGTGGCTCATGTCTGTAATCCCAGCACTTTGGGAGGATGAGGTGGGCGGATTACCTGAGGTCAGGAGTTTGAGACCAGCCTGGCCAACATGGTGAAACTCCATCTTTACTAAAAATACAAATATTAGCTGGGCATGGTGGCACATGCCTGTAGTCCCAGCTACTCAGGAGTCTGAGGCAGGATATCACTTGACCCAGGAGGTGGAGGTTGCAGTGAGCTGAGACTGTGCCACTGCACTCCAGCCTAGGTGACAGCAAGCCTCTTTCTCAAAAAACAAAAAAAGATCTAAAGGACAGCTTTAAATAGATCTCTTGCTATTTGCCAAAGACGACTGGACAACTCTGTGCCATCTGCCAGGGATGTTGTAAATTATGTTTTAGGTTGCAGATTCTCCAGCAAAGTCCATGTCTTGGCCATCTTCAGTTGTCTGCATGTGATATTGTCATCACTCAAGTTGCACAAAATTATCAGAATCCTAATAATTTGTGCTTCCATCATTCCAGGAATGGGCTTGCATCAAAGCAATTCAAATATCAGTGAGTATTTATTTTATTATTATGTCATTTATTTAAAATGACATGAAGAATTGGTATCTGTCCAAAATGTGGAGGGTTTTAATAGCTTTCGAACCAATCCATTTCATCAATGCTTTTTTTTTTTTTTTTTTTTTTTTTTTAGATTTTTCTTAATAGATGTGGTGAGTTGCACTCAGGTTATTGACATTTCACAAAATATCAAGTTGATAACATTTCCATACTATTTATCAAATCTATGAATGGTGAACACAGTCTTTTTGCAGTTCTGTAAGAAATTAAAAGTGCTTTGAAACACTTTAAAATTGTTTAGAAAATTTGAGTCAGAGGCCGGGCACGGTGGCTCATGCCTGTAATCCCAGCACTTTGGGAGGCCGAGGCGGGTGGATCACGACGTCAGGAGATCGAGACCATCCTGGCTAACATGGTGAAACCCCGTCTCTACTAAAAATACAAAAAATTAGCCGGGCGTAGTGGCGGGCGCCTGTAGTCCCAGCTACTCGGGAGGCTGAGGCAGGAGAAGGGCCTGAACCCAGGAGGTGGAGCTTGCAGTGAGCCGAGATCGCGCCACTGTACTCCAGCCTGGGCAACGGAGTAAGACTCTGTCTCAAAAAAAAAAAAAAAAAAAAAAGAAAATTTGAGTCAGAATGTGTAAGTGGATTATTCTTAAGGAGGAGTACGTTTGTATGTTTTCATGCTTTTTCCTTTCCTTAATTCTAATGGGAAGAAGGAAAAAGGGAAAAGTAGACATACATTATTCTTGCTTTATTAACGTGGCCATTTATACAGAGAATGCTTTTATATAAGCTCAAAACAAGCCCAGAAAAGAGGTCAAATGAGCAAACAGGTATTTGGAATCTTAGGTTAATACCATACTTAACATATTAAGTTGTACACGGTAGTCAACATTTAAAAAAATGTACTATGCTCTTCTAAGAATTTTCTATTTATTTATTTATTTATTTAGATAGAGTCTCGCTCTGTCACCAGGCTGGAGTGCAGTGGCACGATCTGGGCTGACTGCAACCTCTGCCTCCTGGGTTCAAGTGATTCTCCTGCCTCAGCCTCCTGAGTAGCTGGGATTGCTAATACAGTGAAATTTCCTATCAGTGAGAAGCCTGAACAGAGTAGAAGCATTTGAGGTCCAGCATACCTCTTAAAACGTTTGATTTTAATCTTTCATTCTAATTATAAGTGTCTGGGAATTTTTTTAACCTTTGTTTCGGTTTGCTGGGCTTGTCATGGCCTGTTTGACCTCTGACCCACTGTAGCCTTTCCTTGCTTGGCTTTTGTTTGAAGGTGAAGTGAACACCTGTAGCCTGCTTTATCCACCAGATGTTGGCTTCCAGTTGGGTGTGGCGAATGGGAGGCTGGGTGGGAATTTAAAGGGCAGCGGAAGAATGGGGCAGATTATCCCCAGCCTGCTCTCCTCCCTATTCCCACCCCGCTATTTTATCTCAATTAGCTGCTTCCTATCCTCAGTGGCTGCAATTTCCACCTGACAGGTTCATTGCTGCTTTAGCTACTGTTGTGTTATCCTGATCCCTGGATGCTGAGAACATCACTTCCACACTCTCTCCAGTCAAGGAGTGAGAGTGGCTTCCTTCTGTGCTAATAATGTCCAGGTTGACTCATTGTCCCATGCTTGACTTCTTCAAACACCACTGTAACCAATTATTTTTACTATATTCCTTCTATTTTAACTGTTTAGAGTAGTTTCTGTCTTCCTTAAATACTCCTGAACAATATACTTGCCAGGAATGTGATAAGGAGTTTAAGAATTTTCTATACTTTAGCACAGAAGTGCAGTCTATTCATTTGGGGATAATAGGGGTACTGGGTTGAATAGTTTACCCCCAAAATTTATGTCAGCCTAAACCTCAGTATATGAATTTATTTGGAGATAGAATCTTTGTAGAAGTAATTAGTTAAAATGAGGTCATACTGAATTAGGGTGGGCTCTTAACCCAATGACTAGAGTCCTTGTAAGAAGGTCATGTGAAGACTCAAAGATACACACAGAGAAAAGCCATGTGCAGGCAGATGCAGAGATCACAGTGATGTGTCTACAAGCCAAGGACCATCAAGGATTGCCAGCAACCACTAGAAGCTAGGAGAGGCATGGAACAGATTCTTCAGAGCTTCCAGAAGAAACCCATCCTCCAACACCTTGATTTCAGACGTTTGGCTTCCAGAAGTGTAAGAGAATAAATTTCTGTTGTTTAAAGCCACCCAGTCTGAGCTATTTTGTTATGGTAGCCCCAGGAGACCAATGTACCAACTACCTTTTGCGTTGGGATGTTATTGTAATTCTTATTATCTTCCTTATTTGTTAGGCCCATTTTGCTGATTCTCCCCACGACTGGGAGCAGATAATTTGCATTACTGATCGAATGAAAAGTGATGACCTTAGGATAGGGTGCTGGCGTGATGAAGTTTCCCCCCAGCCACATTGATATAAAGACTTGACAATTCCCTGGCACGGTGGCTCACGCCTGTAATCAGTTTGGGGGGCTGAGGTGGGCAGTTCATTTTAGGTCAGGAGTTTAAGTCCAGCCTGGGCAACTTGGTGGAACCCCGTCTCTGCTAAAAATACCAACATTAGCTGGGCATGGTGGCAGGCACATGTAATCTCAACTATTCGGTAGGCTGAGGCAGGAGAATCACTGGAACCCGGGAGGTGGAGGTTGCAGTGAGCTGAGATCATGCCACTTGCACTCCAGCCTGGGCGACAGAGTGAATCTGTTTCAAAAAAAAAAAAAAAAAGAGAAGAAGAATCGCCAATCCAAGTAATCTAATGTAAAAATGTATTTCTATAAGAACACTGTTTTGAAACAATTATGTAACATATACAAAAGAATATATGTAACATATCTAAGTTACAAATGTAAGTTATGAAGCATAATGAGCCAGGAGCCTATCATTGAATTTATGAACTGGAATAGAGATTGGTAAATACTTTCTGTGGAGGACCAGATAGGAAATATTTGGGTTTTGTAGACTAGATGGGATCTCTATTACAACCATTGAAGTCTGCCTTTGTAGCATGAAAGCCACTATACACAATATGTAAATGAATGTGTTCCAATAAAACCTTACAGGCATCAGGCCAGATGTGACCCACGGCTATAGTTTGCTGAGCCCTGATCTAGAACATTGCCAGCGCAGATCTTAAATACCCTTCTCCTGTACCCTTGCTCTGAGCAGTAACTACTATTCTGATGTTTATGTTGTTCTGTTCCTTAAACATTATATTATTTTATTTTGTTTGTGAGCTTTATTAAAATTCATTTTAAAAGAAAAAAGTCAGAATGGAAGACAATTCTTGCAATCTACCCATCTGACAAAGGTCTAATAATATCCAGAATCTACAAGGAACTTAAATTTACAAGAAGAAGCAAACAACCCCATCAAAAAGTGGGCAAAGGACATGAACAGACACTTCTCAAAAGAAGACACTTATGCAGCCAATAAACATATGAAAAAAAAAGCTTAATATCACTGACCATGAGAGAAATGCAAATCGAAACCACAGTGAAATATCATCTCACACCAGTCAGAATGGTGATTATTAAAAAGTCAAGAAACAACAGATGCTGGCAAGACTGTGGAGAAATAGGAATGCCTTTACACTGTTGGTGGGAATGTAAATTAGTTCAGCCACTGTGGAAGGCAGTGTGGTGATTCCTTAAAGATCTAGAACCAGAAATACCACTTGTCCCAGCAGTCCAATTACTGGGTATATACCCAAAGGAATATAAATCATTCCATTATAAAGATACATGTACGTGTATGTTCACTGCAGCACTATTTACAATAGCAAAGACATGGAATCAACCCAAATACCCATCAATGATAGACTGGATAAAGAATATGTGGCACATATACACCATGGAATACTATGCAGCCATGAAAAGAAATGAGATCATGTCCTTTGTAGGGACATGGATGAAGCAGGAAACCATCGTTCTCAGCAAACTAACACAGGAACAGAAAACCAAACACCGCATGTTCTCACTTATAAGTAGGAACTGAACAGTGAGAACATGCAGACCCAGGGAGGGGAAGAACAAACACTGGGGCCTGCTGGGGAGGGTGGCAGGGGAAGGGAGAGCATTAAGATAAATAGCTAATGTATGTGGGGCTTAATACCTAGGTGATGGGTTGACAGGTGCAGCAAACCACCATGGCACATGTTTACCTGTGTAACCGGCACATCCTGCACATGTATCCCAGAACTTAAAATAAAATAAAATTTTTAAAAAAAGAAATAAGAGAAAAAGTCAAATTATACTTGGGAGAGTCATTTATGGTATTAAGTCAATCATTTTCATAAAATATTTTTAATATTAATATTCTGTAGTTTTTCATTTTTCTGTTTTTGGACATTTGGATTGTCTGCTGTTATTTTTTGCTAACATTACTAACAATGTTGCTTTGTTCATAATACTCATATCTCTGTGCACATGTGCATCTATGAGCCATATGCCTGAGGGTGGAACTGATTAATGGTAAAGTATGCCCATCTTCAATTGTATAAGAAATTGCTAAAGTGTTCAATTGTTTTTTAATGTAGTTACAGTAATTTACATCCTGCTAATGATATATAAAAATCTCCAGGATTACACATTGTTGCCAAAGCAATATCGCTAGACTTCTTATCTTTTAATCATTTTGGTGAGTATAAAACGATATCTTGATTTGGTTTTAATTTATATTTCCAGGACTACTAGTTACGTCAAAAATCTTTCTCTGGCCTCTTATTTTCTTTTCTGTGAAATGCCTCTATTTTATTTTTTTGTGTATTTATATTTCATTGGCTCATATGTCTTTTCCTAATTGATTTGCCAGAATTCTTTATACATTCTGGATATTAAGGCTTTATTGATTAAAATAATAGTATAAACATTTGCCTCATGTTGGTATCCTTTAATGGACTTTAGTAAGATTTAATAATCTGCAAACTGAATCTGAACACATTTTTGGACTTAATATCCAAGAACCTTGTATTTTTGTAGTTTGAATAAATGGATTCAATTAAAGACATTCTGCTTGCTGGTAATAAACCAGGTTTTAATGATAAAAATGGAAATTCTTTAAAAAGTAGGATGCAAATGAGAAGTTGGAATTGGGTAAGTAATAGTGAACTTTATAATAATTGTGAATATTATAGTCATAGGAAATAAATTTATGAAATAAATATATGAATTATAAACAAATATTACATATTATATAATAATACACAATTATATTATTCAGATATACATAATATAAAGCAAATTTATATAAATAATATAAAATAAATTTACAATAATAGTAAACAAATACTAGTAACATTATAATAGTAAAATGGGGAATTTTAATCATAGTTCGGCTTTGCATATGTTTCCTAGAATATCACAAGTTTATTTTTCCTGAGAGTAATATGATGATTATAGCTCCATTTTCTAATGGTATACTTTATAAAGTTATGTTGTAGTGTATTTCAGTTTTGTATCCCTACTGCAGCACAGTGCCAGGAATATTAAGTGTTGTGATTATTGCTATTTTGGCAAATGAAAGAAGTTTTCCTGACATATCTGAGTTAGAAACCTGGAGACCCGAAGTTCTGTAGTCCCGATTTGTGCAGTCAGGACTTCCATTAAAAAGTTATGCAGAACTTCAACTGAACAACTATGAATTTCTCTCTCTCTTCTGCCTCTTCAGCATTCATTAAGCCAAATCCCTACACAGTTGTTTAAATAACTACCTAAAAATTAAACATTTACATTATCAAAATTATATGACTTTCTAAATGTGATATCTTTTTGCATAGATCAAATAAAGAGATAATTTTCATCTCCAAACTTTGTGACTGTACACTAGATAGCAACTGACTATTATTTTCAACAGGCTTAGTCAAATCAGCTTTGTAGATGGAAAAACAACCTAGAAAAACCATTTTTCTTAAGTGATAAGTTAAAAGCCTCCATTTATTTTCATATTACTATGTTGTGATTTGATATAGAGAGAATTTCATAGATTTGCTCCTTTTATAATAACAAGCATCTTCTGGTGCTGCCTACCGTCCCTTGCAACTGTCCCTCTTTCATCCTCTGTGTTTTCAGCCCACATTGTCTTGTTGCATTTCCATGTCTGCCAAAAAGATGTCTACTGGAAGAATTATTTCATAAATCTTTGCTTAATGTTTCAGCTCATGTATTAAGCCCAGCAGTGTTATCTCACAAACACAGATCCATTTCTATAATTTTTGAAATTTCTCTATTGACATACTCATCTTTAAAAAAAGAACAAATTATAATCACTTAGCTTAATGAATTACCCTGAAGTATGTAACTGCTATTTAGGTAAAAAAAAAAATGGGAACATTGCCAATACTAGAGAAGACTCTTTAATGTCCTTTCCCAATCTTTCTACATTCTCCCCTACAAATAACCACAATCTTGACCTTGACCTCTAGCGTACAGTTTAAGTTTCGCCATTATTAGCTTTGGTATACTTATATAATTGGAATCATTTAAAGATATTGTTTGGGTTTCGTTTCTGCTGATTAATATTATGTTTATGATATTCCATCACATTTTTGTGACTAGCTGTAGTAAATTTATTTTATATATTTGGTTATACAAGTGTAAGACAATTTAATCTACTTTTTTGGACATTTGGGTTATATTTAATTTCTACTATCTTGAATTATTCTATTATGAACATTCTCATATATGTCTTCTCGTGCACATACACAGACAGTTTTGTTGGATATATACCTAGAAGTGGATTTGCTGAATCATAAAAAGAGCGTATACTTAACTTTAGTGGACAGTGCCAAATAGTTGTCCTTCTTGGCCTTACCAATTTATACTTTTCCTAGCACTGTATGAGAGTTCCCATTTTTCCACCTAATCAACAAAATTTGATGCTATTAGCATTTTAAAATTTAGCCATTTGGGTAGGTGTCTTTGTATTTCATTGTAGTTTTAATTTTTATGTTCCCAGTGACTAGTGATGGTAAGAATTATGCTAAGCACCATTTCTCATATTTGTTGTTATTCAAAGTCAGTCTCTTATAATACAACATTAAACTGTAGTTGTTATTTTTAAATCCAGTTTGACAATATTACGCTTTTCCTTGGGGTATTTAATTCATTTGTATTTAATGCAACTTTGAAATAGTTGGGCTTAAAATGATCATACTATTACTATTTTCTATTTTATTCATATTTTTAATGTTTCTTTTATCTTTACTTTTTTCCTTTTCTATTATTATGTTACCTTTTTACTATTCTAATGCTAATTAAATATTTTAGTTATACATTGTTTTACTATCTTTTATTGGTTACTGTAGAAATTATAATATGTGTCATCTCCTTATTATAGACTAATGCAAAGTATTAATTTTCATATTTCCCCAGTAGTGGTAAAAACTTCAAATCTCTAAAATCTTTTTACTTACTTTCTACCTTTACATTATCTTCTTTTTAAAACTTTTTTCTAAATGTAATTAAAATTTCACAAAATATCACAATTATTGCTATCTATAGGCAATACCCTGTTTACGCCTACTCATACCATTATTCACATATGTTATTTGTATAGTGTTCACCTTCATTTGTATATATTTATATACCTCCAGTATTTATTTATATATATTCTTACTGGTGATCTTCACTTCCTTTTGTATTTTTATATTTCCTTCTAGAATAATTTTTATTTTGCTTGAAGAGCTCTCAGCTTTTCTTTCATTTATGACTGGGAAGTAACTGAGCTCAGTTATTGTCTACACATTTGTTCATGCTGACTTTGATTTTTGAATGTTATTTTCACTGGATATAGAATTCTAGGTTAGCAGTCATTTTGTCAGCCCTTTGGAGATGCCTTTTAATTTCCTTCTTGTTTACATTATTTTTTGTTAAGAAGCGTGCTGTCATTTTGAATATTGTTTCTTTGAAGGCAACGTTTTCCCACTTTGTCTACTTTGAAGCTTTATTCTTTAGCTTTGGTTTATCCTGCTTTGGGTTCATGGAGCTTCTTGGAAACTGTGCATTAATGTCTCATATTAGTTTTGAAATTATCTCATCCATTATCTCTTCAAATTGTTTCTGCCCCATTCTTTTCTCTCATTTAGGGATATCAGTTATAAATGTGATAGATATTTTGAGCATTTTACATTTACCTGCTATTCCCTGTTCTGTCCCCCAACCCCAATATTTTTTATTTTGCAGTGCTTAACTTAGTATTTTTATTTACTGACGTTTCAATCTACTAGTCTTGTGTTCTGCTGTATTCAATCTGTTATTAAACTTATCAATAGTATTCTTTATTTTGTACATTCTATTTTTCTATTTTCAGTTCTAGAATGTCAATTTTAACCTTTTTATAGATTCCAATTTTCCATTATATTCCATCCTTTCACTTATTTGATCCATATTTTCATTTATTTCTCAAACATATTGCAGTTGTTTTAAAATACCATTGTCTGCTAAACTTAAACTTGGATTATCTGTATGTCTGTTTCTATTGTCTGCCATTTCTCTTTTTTAATAGGTAACATTTTCTGACTTCTTTCCAATTATAATAGTTTTTTATTACATGTTGAACATTTATATATGTTGGACATATAAAGAATTAAGGAGGTTCCTGATGTTGTAAACTTCCACCAGAGAGAGTTCTTTATTTTTTCCTCTATTAATCAGGTAAGATGAGAATCTTGTTACTGCAGTCCAATTCAAAATTGAGCTGGGTAGGAGCTGAGTTTGAATTTCAGCAACACACAGTCAACCTCTGGTTCACCTTTGCTTTGAGGATGTGGCTTTCCCAGACCTTATGTGTGGAGCTTGGATCGTCTTATTTTTCTCAGGTGTAAAATACTACAGAAGTTCCAGTTCTTTACTTCAGAGCCCAAATCTCTAGGCTCATACCCTGCCTATCTTCAAAATGTGGCAAATATCTTGAAGATAAACTTGACAGTGTGCTTGAAACAAGTTTATATTTCTTAGCATTAAAAAATAGAGAGAATTTCAGTCTGCCTATAAAAGAATTTGACCTGTAGTATCGTATTTCTTTACAAAATCAAAATGCAGAAAATGCCTTATAAACACATCAACTATTGTTTCAATTTCTTCAAGTTTTTAATTTGCCACGCTATTTCCTCTGTGATTACTACAAGTCTTTCTGGCTTACAGTTCTCTCATTAGAAGCTTTGTGCTTAGGCAAGCCTGAAGCTTGCACAACCCAAATCATTAGTCTACAACAGAAATTAGCTTATGTTCCAAGAAAACAAAACAAAACAAAATCAGAAAACCATAAAACCCCTGGATATTATTAGATTAGCTTCTCTCAGAAAGTTTCCCCTCTTATATACTTCTTAAAATTCTCTTTAGAATTTTATTTCAAAAAACTCTTTTTGTTTCCATACATTTCTAGTACCTTTAAAAGTATGATTTTGGTAATTTACTTATCTTTTTTTCTAGTTGTTGTTTCAAGAGCATTGGCCTGCTATGAAATAGTACATTATACTTAGAAATTAAAGTTTGAATGGATTATTTTTATTATTTTATATTTTTCCTACCTATTGGCTTTTTATTTATATAGTCATTCTTCTATTCCTTTAGTTGTTACTTTAAATATTATAGCACACATTCTTATGTCTGGAAAATGCAAGATGTTTCTACTATCTATTTTTGTATAACACAAACTGCCAGGAAACTTATTGCCTTAAGACAACAATTATTTCTCTTGTTTCTGTGGCGACTGGGCTTACCTGGACAATTCTTATTTGGGTTTTTTATATGGTTCTAATTAGATGATGACTAGGACCAGTGCCTACTAAAAACTTAACTGGGCTGGGTTTTTTTTTCTTTAAAGGAGAACAGCTATATCCTCTTAATATTTTAATGTGTTTTCTATTTTTTTAATGTGCATGTTGACATGATCTTGTATATTCTGATTGTGAAGGATAGTTATTGGAGAGAATTGCTTTTTATTTTTTCCTGCTTTATTAAGGCATAACTGACCAATAAAAATTATATATACTTATCATGTAAAACATGATGTTTTGATTTATGTATGCATTGTAAAATGATTAAATCTAGCTAATTAGCATATCTATCACTTCATATACTTATTATTTTTTAGTGAGAATATTTAAGATCTTTCTCAACAATTTTCATGTATACAGTACATTGTTATTAATGATAATCACCATGCTGTACAATAGGTGTCCATAACTTATTCATCCTATTTAACTGAAACTTCCTACTTTTTGTCTAACATCTTCCCATTCTCCATCCATCCCCCAACCAGGATGGAGATTCCTGATAGTTTACTCATGTGGTTGACAGTTGATGCTGGTCTTCAGCTGAGAAATCAACTGGGACTGTCAACTGAGTAAATGCTTTTCTTTGATCAAAAAGTTCTTGGATAGTAAATAACCTCCAATGATACCGTCCTCAATGAATCATATGTCCCAGTATTTACAGCATTGTGTATCCCCCTGTCTTTGAGCCTGACTTACCCTAGAATTCCATTTTTGCCAGTAGAATGGGGCAAACATAATGCTGCATCAGTAAAAAGGCAAGGTCGCAAGAGGCATTTCAGCTTCTACCTGTCTCTTGGTGTGTTTGTCCTTGAGATGCTCCCTCTTAGAATTCAATTAGCATGTTATAATAGACTAAAGCCAGATAGTAAGGTCATGGAAAAGCACTTGGGTTGAGATTCCCTCCTATGACAACAGTAACAAAAGAAGAATTATGTGAATTTTTTCCCTTCTGAATTTGTTCTCAAAATCCCTTATCCTGAAGTTTATACATTTTTATCTGGGGCTTATATTGGTAGGGTGGAATATTTTTAATACCAAGATGATGTGAAAATATTTCTGATAAGAACTGGAGAGCAAACCTATCCACACAGCCTTGTGCTTACTATTCGGTGCCAAGCCCTTGAAGTTGTGCCTTCTATCTCGTTGTTCTTTAATATATTGCATTAGAATAATCTATTTAAGTTTCTATTAATAAGTCCACAGTACAAAAAATATTCCTCAAGAGTATTGACCATTCTTATTCATCTTCTAACCCCAGCACCTAAGCATGACTGTCCTATAGTTAGCACTCAATAGATGGTTATTGATCTGAACTGATGAGAAGTACAAGCTGTGGATTTCAGATCAGTAAGCTTTCTAAAGTTGTTATTGTTTTTTTTTAATGGTTTAGGTCTCATGGTTCTTGGGTATGAAGAGATAAATGTAAATAGAAGAGAGTTTAAATATTTTGTTCAACTGTAAGTACAAGTTATATAGCATTATCTGGTATGAAACAGGGTTTAATTCAATACAAAATTATTACAGTGATCACTAGGTAAAAGAAAAAATGTATAAGTTTTCAGGAAAAAAGCAGTCACTGTATTTTCTACCAATCCCATTTCTTTTGCTGCATATCTTCCTTTCTTCTAATTTTTCTTTATTGTTAATCATCATCATCATATATAAGTTATATTACTTGATCTCCATATGGCATTAAGTTTTAGAAATACAAAGAGGCGAGGCGGGTGGATCACGAGGTCAGCAGATCGAGACCACGGTGAAACCCTGTCTCTACTAAAAACACAAAAAATTAGCCGGGCGTGGTGGCGGGCGCCTGTAGTCCCAGCTACTCGGGAGGCTGAGGCAGGAGAATGGCGTGAACCCGGGAGGCGGAGCTTGCAGTGGGCCGAGATAGCGCCACTGCACTCTAGTCTGGGCGAGAGAGCGAGACTCTGTCTCAAAAAAAAAAAAAAAAAAAAAAAAAGAAATACAACGAGGTTACATTTTGGAGGTAAATATTTATTGATCACTTATTATTTGTTAGGCACTACTTTAGGTTCTTATGATACAATAATGAGTAGAAGAAGTAGATGTGATCACTGCTTTCCTTCATTGCTTTCATAGAATTTATGAGCTAATCACTGTACTTGATTGAGTATGTGAAGCACAAATAGAAAACACTACTGTTAAGCTTCATAGATTCAGAGTAAGTCATCATTGTTGAAGACTCATGTGATTAGATCTCAAGGTAGAAATACAATTTGAATGGTGGCATGATTTATAAAAGTAGGAAGATACCTTGCTTAGTTATTAATAAAATCCTCAGAATTGTGACCTGTTTGGAGATGAGTAGTTTGTTTTGATTAGATAAGAGGCTTTGGCATGGGTTTTTTTTTTTTTTTTTTTTTTGAGACGGAGTCTCGCTCTGTCGCCCAGGCTGGAGTGCAGTGGCGGGATCTCGGCTCACTGCAAGCTCCGCCTCCCGGGTTCACGCCATTCTCCTGCCTCAGCCTCCCAAGTAGCTGGGACTACAGGCGCCCGCCACCACGCCTGGCTAATTTTTTGTATTTTTAGTAGAGACGGGGTTTCACCGTTTTAGCCGGGATGGTCTCGATCTCCTGACCTCGTGATCCGCCCGCCTCGGCCTCCCAAAGTGCTGGGATTACAGGCGTGAGCCACCGCGCCCGGCCTGGCATGGGTTTAATGGGAGATAGGCTTGAAGAAGTAGGTGGAGGTTAGATTGTTAAGAACAAGCACCATTTTTGTTGTTGTTGTTTGTAGCAAAAAAGGGCCAAGTTAGGCAAACTGATGTGACTAATGTGATAACAGGTCGAGTCAAGCAATAGAACCAGACAAATATGAACATCACTTTTGCCATATTCTTTTGGTTAGCAGGATGTCACAGGTTCAGCCCACACTTACAGGAAGGAGATTATGCAAGGGCATAAATACTAGGAAGTTACCTTGTCTCTGAGGTAACCTTGGGAATGGGAAGGCACCAAAATGGAGGAGAAAAGGATAGACTTATAAAAGGGCACAAGAAAACTTCTGGGGGTGATGGATATATTCACTCTCTTGATTGTGGTGATTATAATGATTATTTCATGGATGTATATATATGTCAAAACATTATAGAGTTAAAATGTACAGTTTATTGTATGGCAATTATACCTTAATACCACTGTTAAGAAAGAAAGAATTGTATTTGTGTATATATCCATATTCAAATTGAAACCAAACAAGAATAGGCAAGGAAAAACACTGGTATTTTCTCAGCTGTAAAGAAGCAAGCCTATGGATGTGTCCTCGACTATTCTCTAGATGAAAATGTACTAAAGGTGCTAATACAGTCAGTTTTATGTAAAGAAATGCAAAGTATACAAAACATTACTGCTACTGATATCAATTTAAATTTATAAAATTTATGAGCTCTTGTAGTTTATGTCTTATAATAAAGAACAATGCAAATTATATATAATTCAACTGGAAGTTAATTCCCCACATAAAGCATGAATAGGATAAGAAAATAATCTGTCACATTTGTGAAACTAGAGTTACAGACCTTAGAGAAGGTATATTATTTTAATGTCATAATGCAACTCATATTTCACTTTATCATGATAATGAAATTATGCAAATATATTTTACAACATGGGCAAGCGTGGTGTAACTTGATGGAAATGTGGATATTAAAACTGAGTTGATTTTATGTTACTGCTAATTTTGAAAGTGTATGAAAGATAAATCATCAAAACAGCAAAAAATGAAAGAACACAGAAGCTTATTACTTTCCAGTGAGCAGAAATACTGGTAGGTTAATATTATCTAGGATTATGGTAATAGAATCAAGAAAATTTCATTCACAATGGGGAAAGAAAGTAGCAACCATTGAGTATCAGATGTGTTAGGAAAATATGGTAGGCACTTTACATATTATGAGTTGAATATTTAATTCATATAAAATTCCTACAAGTCATTTTCTAAAGGATGAGAATATGGGGCTGAGGTCACACAGAGTTGTCCACAGTATAACTAGGTTTCCAGTGATGATCTATGTCACCCTAGGTATTTTGTTCCTCAAAATAAGAGGCAGAGCACCACTTTGGAAAGAAGCATAGATTCTGGAGCCACAGTGTGTAGAGTCAAATCCTGATTATATAATCTGATACAAATTATTCCATCTCTCTATGCCTCTGTTTTCTCTACTGTAAATATCAATGGTACTTCCTCATTGGGTTGCTTTTTAACCTATTTCCCATTTAGAAAAAAAAAGTGCAGTCCACTGCCCATGCAGTATTCTTGGTGCAAATGGGAAATGAGATAAGGAATGGGGAAATATCTATAAAGGGCCTAAAGCAGTGCTTGGCACATAGTAAACACTGCAATTATTTATTCTCATTATTATTACAGGTCCTTGGACGTGCATGTTAGGGTTTTCCAGAGAAACAATCAAGAAGATGTATATAGGAGAGGGTCTTCAAAAAGTTCATTGAAAATGCATACTATGAATAAACTACTCATGCATTTCAATTGTTTTTGCACCTAAATAAACTTATACTAACTTGTTATAACGTATCTGAACAGGACCTAGTTTGGGACACTAATTAGGATAAGATATCTGTTTGAAAATAGCCCCTATCAGAGCAACACGAATTCTGTAAAAATCGAAGCAAGAACAAACATCAAATTTATGGTAAGCCTTGAGTAGGTGAATGGTGAAATCATGGATGCTTTATGACAAGTTTATGGGGACGATGCACCAAAGAAACCAGTAGTTTTCAAATGGATAACTCATTTTAGGAAGGGACAAGACAATGCTGAAGATACAGCCTGCAGCAGAAGACCATCCATGTCAATTTGTGAGGAAAAAATTTGTCTTGCTTGTGCCCTAATTGACGAGGACCAATGACTAATAGTACAAAAAATACCCAACACCATAGACATCTCAATTGGTTCAGCTTAAATAATTCTGACTGAAAAATTAAAATTGGGCAAACTTTCCATTCAGATGTCGAAACTGTTGCATCCAGACTAGCTATAGACAAGAAGAGAGCTTTCAATGCAAATATTAAACAAGTGGGATCAAGACCCTGAAGCATTTCTTCAAATAAATGTAACAGGAGATGAAACATGGCTTTATCAGTGTGATCCTGAAGACAAAGCACAATCAAAGCAATGGCTACCAAGGAGTGGACTGTTCAAGACCAAAGGTCATGGCAACAGTTTTCTGGGATGCCCAAGGAATTTTGCTTGTTGACTTTCTGGAGGACCAAAGAATGATAACATCTGCTTATTATGAGATTTTTTTTTTTTTTTAGAAAGTTAGCCAAAGCTTCAGCAAAAAAGAAACCAGGGAAACTTCACCAGAGGGTCCTTCTCTATCGCAATAATACTCCTGCTCATTTTTCTCATCAAACAATGGCAATTTTGTGAGTTGCAATAGGAAGTCATTCGGCATCCACTGACAGTCCCGATTGGGCTCCTTCTGACTTATTTTTGGTTCCTAATCTTAAAAAAATCTTTGAAGTGTGCCCATTTTCTTCAGTTAACAATGTAAAAAAATGACTAAATTGACATGGTTGAATTCCCAGGACCCACAGTTCTTTGGGGACGGACTAAATGGCTGATATAATATCAAACGTGTCCTGAACTTGACTGAGCTTGGTTGGAAAATAAAGTTTATATTTTTTATCTTTACCTTTTAATTCCATGTTCCCACAAATGTTTTGAAGTCCCCAAATATATAGGAAGAGATTTTCTAAAGGAATTGGCTCATGTGATTATGAAGGCTGACAAGTTTCAAGTTCTCCAGTGTTTGTTGTCAAGCTGGAGACACAGGAGAGATGATGGTGTAGTTTCAGCACTAAAGTTGGCAGACTTGAGACCCAGAAAGCCTTGACATTTCAGTTCAAGTCTGAAGGCAGGAAAAAGATGACGTCCCAGTTGAAAGGCATTCAGGCAGGAGAAATCCTCTCTTATTCATGGAAGGATCAGACTTTTTGTTCTATTCCAGCCCTCAACTGATTGGATGAGGTCTATCCACACTAGGGAGGGTGATCTGATTTACTAAATTCACCAATTTAAATGTTAATCTCATAAAAGGAAACCCTCAGAGGCACACTCAGATTAATGTTTGACTAACTATCTGGGAACCCTCTACCCCATGATGGAAACAACTATCATACAAGTCACCAACACTATGCACTGCTAGAACCTAGATTCTGTGATATTTTTGATTGAGGTTTATTGATGTTTAAATGTTTTATTTTATAGTTATGTTTATGCCTTTTTATTACTGAATGCTTGATGGTTTCTTGCCTTGGAACAGACACTTATGATTTCTCTTCCTCTCAGTATGACTAATTTATAAGTCATATTGGCTGGAACATGACAAGCTGGCTGCTTATTGTGAAAATAAATCACAATACTTGTGAGTGATAAAATAACAAATGTTATGTTTTTTTTTTCTATTGACAAATGAATCATTGGTTTTTAACTCTTTTGAAGCAATTCATAAATTTTGGGCCTGGTTGGTTCTTAACTACCATTTCAGCATCAAGTGAGATGTAAAACAAAAAATGAAAAAGAATAATGAGGTATTATTAGTAGTGCCAGTAATAATATTTACCATTTATTTAGCAACTATGGTGTGCCAAGCACTGGAACAGACACTTCACATCAATTACTTCTTTAATTCTCACACACCCTGTGGGTTTGAAATCAATATTTTACTTATGGTTTGATCAAAGGGTCTAATACTTTAGGAAAGAAATGGAGCCAGACTAGCCTTGTGGACTTGAGTGCTTTGACTCTTGGTACCTTATTCCGTCCTTCTGAAGGAAGAGATAAGGCATCACGACAGGGGGCCCCTTGGGAGATGGTAGCTCTCTAACAATTTTTCTTCCCAAATGAGAGTTACTAGGAATTAACTTTAACTTTAGTTGACTTTAGTACATTCTCCCTTCTAATCACTATGGTTTCTCTCTCCTCAGTTCTATATTATAGTGAAAGTCAGCAGGTGTTCTAAAATATAGTGTATAATGGAAAATTTGGGGCATAATAAGTTCAAAAGACCAAGAGATAACTGCTATCAAAAGGATAGTTTATTACTCACAGTTCCCAAAAGAAAGGGCATGTCACACCATGGGGCACCACATGGGCTGGCACTGGAGTTGGACATGAGGCAGAGGGAGAGGGGCAAACAGTAGGTAAGAGCTTTTATTGTATTTCTGCAGGAAGGAATGAGTGAGTCAGGGTGAACAGGCTTCAGATTGGCTAGTTTGAATAATTTCAGCAGGCTCTGAGGCATAGAGACTGTCCCTAGTTGTATAGTATCTGGCTCTGGTGTGTATATAATCGCCTGGAGTGTGAGAGTTCAATAAGAAAATAAGTCCAATAAGAAAAGTGGTTGGGGATGTGGATTCTAGTTTGATTGGTTTGTTTGAAAAGTGCATCCCTGGGAGGTGAACTCCTTCTGAGGAAAAAAGGATGATGAGGGAGGCAAAAGAACAAAGCAAAGCAAGTCATATGTATTATTCTGTTGTCTAGAACAAGTTATGTCCAGCATACATGTGTAGGGCAGATGTTAAAGCATCAAGCTTCCAGGAACTAGAAATGTGGTTAATATAATAGCCCAATTTGCTTCAATTAAAGAAAGCGGAGTTCGTGAAGTTGAGTTGAGTATTTGTCTTCTAGTGCTCAACTTTTATCTGTTTTTGGCAGAAATGCACAGAAGTGTTCTTACAGTGCCCATTCATTTCCTGTTAGTCTATAGACGCCCACCTGCCATGAAGGTGCTCTTTGTTTGACCAATTGTTGCAAAGACAACCATCTAATGAACGTTTGTTTGCTGCTCAGCGGTGAGATTTGTTAACATGCGCAGAAATCCTCTACTGTAAGGTTATGAATGTAAACACCAAAGCAGAAGATTAAAGCTCCAGGAAACCTTGAGATTTCTGAGAAGGGACCATGACTGTGTTGATTTGCATGTCCTACTGACAGCTCTCTGGGAATGACATGTGCCACAAACCCGAAGGGTAGATTTTTGTCTTGATTCCCATTCTTTTCCAGATTTAAACAAATATTGTTCATTGAAACTAGTCTTTCTGAGTCCCTCCAATGTTTTTTCTGCCTTTTTCACTCTCATTCTCTGTATTTTTTAGGATGTTGCACCAATAGCCAAAAGTAATAAAAAAGTAAGTGATAGAGACAGATTATTTTCATTGACAGAGGAGAAAAAGGAAGCTGAGGGTAACTGCTTACAAGACATAAAAACCTCCTCTTAACAACGAATGTGGGAAAGAGACAATTGGAAAATATTTGCAGTTCAAAATGAAGGCCTGATGGGTGTCTAAGAGGCGGGTAGGTTGAGCTGAATAGGGCAACTTATGAATCTCAGTGTGCCATAAACCTGTAGTGAAAGATAGCTCTATTGCATCTGTCCAGGCCCAAATATTGTAATATGTTTGCTATCAGCAAAGCTTGAGGAAAAGTTTTGGGTTGTACCTTTCTTTTATTCTGATATTAAGTTCATGGTGAGGGTGCCATTTTTTGGGGTGATTCTGAGAAGTGAGATGGAATTTTTCCTTGGATTGTTAAGGTTTTGGTGTGTCATTTTGAATAGTGTAGAGAACCCATTTCAGGTGGACTCTGTGGATAGCAGTAGATGATTCATTGAACGTAAGGACTTGTTCTGTACATCCTTCTAGACTTCCATAAGCATGAAGGATTGAGGAATAATTAACAAGACTTCATTTTTGGAATGGAACTTCACTCTTCCACCTTTCTGATATTCAGGGCATTGCAGTGTATTACAGATGCAGCAGTAACAGAAAAGGTATGGATTTGATGATTGTCTAGAAATGTTTCCCAAAGTCCAGGCTCATCAGGCCTTGAAGAATCTTCCTTCAAACAGACTCTGTGGTTGGCTTTAGATCACTAATGCAATGGGAACTAGGGAGATGCTAGAAAGTAAAGATTACAGGTGTAATCTAACACAGAGTTCCTAAACCAGCAGGTTTTAGGGTTGCCACACAGCGCTTCTAGTGGCTTTTTTCACTAACTCTAGCTTTGTTTTTTTTTTTTTTTTAAATATGATCATGTCATATGTATTCTACAGTCAGAAAATTGTTGAAAATTGCTAATCTAAGGAGGTCTAAAAGGAGAATACCATCTGTTTCTTGTATTCATACTTTCCCATGCCTCTTTAAGGGTATGACCAGGTTGTAATGACCCTTTCAAGGGCAAAATATATGTGTCATTCAAAAGGAACAATACCAAGATTTGATATGTGAACAAGCACATGAATTAAGCACCAGGAATGATCCTCCCTTCAACATCAGTCCCTTTGTTGGCTTCCTTGTTAATGAGGGAGCCTCTAACTCACCACATCAAATAAATTGGGTTTATAGTGATCTGTTCTGTTGGTCAGCAGTTGAATAAAGGAAATCACTTTTTCTTAGTTCTAACGTAAAGTGTTCTAACATAGGTGGGTGCATTTGGCAGCACTACTCTCTGTATTTAGATAGCTCTAAGACTGAAAACTATGCATTTTTTTCTGGGTCAAGATATCACATAAGAGAACACAAATCAAGATTGTTTTGTATTTTTCTTTTGTAAATGGTGCTGAATTGCTATTTACTTTTTCTTGTAAGGTTAATACAACTTTTGGCAGCTTTCCTTTCCTTACATTTTCTATTTCAACGACTGATGGCCGCTCAAGTCTTAGTCATTAAGTCAGAAATGTGGGAACTACCTTTGATACAGTCCTCTTTTCCTCTTTTGTCACCTCCCATATTGAATTAGTCATCAAATCTTTTCAGTTTTCTCTTCATGATTTCTGCCTTAGTTCACGCCATTGTGGTCTCCTGCATTATTGAAACAACTCCTTTTCAGTTTCTCAGAGTCTAACCCACTCGCTGCTGCCAACTTTCTCCATCCTCCATCCTTCATCCTCCATGTTGATATCATAGTAATCTTCCTAAAATGCAACTTTGATTGTATTGATTTCTGTTCCCTATAAGATGAAGACCAAGTTCCTTAGCATAGTTGTAAGTAAAGGGTCAACAACTCTTTTCCTTTCTACATGAGAAACTGATCTTGAATAAGTGCTTCTAGTTCTTTTCCCCTGAAGACTCAATAAAAGTGGAATGTCCAGCTGTGTTACTGGGCCATATTACAAATGGCAAAAATTGCTTATTGACACACTGCACCTGCTCAAGGAGCATTGCAAGTGGGAAACCACAGGATTGACTCCTTCAGTGTGGTGATGGTTTCATTGGGGCATGTCTCTTTGGATCCCTAAAAGCTGTGTCTACAGGACTGTTATAAGATACATTGGTTCCTATTCGGGGTGTGGAGCTACTAAATCGATGTGGCTCCCACATCCAGATACCATTCCTTAGTACTCAAGTGCTAGCTGGGGTTGGGGATAAAGAGGATTGGGCTGTGGGTTGCAGTGAGAACTCCTGCTGAGGAAACATGCCTGACACTGACTTGCTGGCATGTTGCAGTCCTTTAATTAATTTCATGCCAAGTGCAGCCTATTAGTATTGTGGGCTTGACTACTTAGCTGAACTCAAATAGACCTACAAGAAGGGACATTGCACTGGCTTACAAGTTGCTGACCCTGCTTCCCAAATTTATCTTCAGCCACTGTCACCCTTATGTATTCTATACTCAGCTTTACTTGTGTTCCCTGAATGTGTTGTCTTCTTTTATCCTTATTTCTCTCCGCATTTCTTCCTCTTCCTCCCCCTCTTTCTTTTCCTCTCCTTCCTCTTCTCCTCCTCCCTTTCTACTTTACTGTAGAACATTATAAGCCTGGTGAGTGCCAGTTTTTCAAATTTCAACTAAATAAAACCTGTCTGAGGTGTTTCTTGAGTGTCTACAGCAGGGGACACTGGCCTGCAGGACAAATCAGGGCCTGTTTTCTGGATGGCCTGATGGTTCAGAATGATTTTTACATTTTTAAATGGTTAAAAAGGAGGAAGAAGAAAGAATATTGTGACATAGGAAAATTATACGAAAATCAAATATTAGTGTTCCTAAATAAAGTTTTATTGGAACATAGCCACACTCACTTGTATAATACATTGTTTTGGGCTACTTTTGGACTACAGTGGCAAAGTGCAGTTGTTTTGAGAGAGCACATGTGGCTCATAAAGACTGAAATATTTATTATCAGGCCAGGCGCGGTGGCTCACGCCTGTAATCCCAGCACTTTGGGAGGTTGAGGTGGGCGGATTACAAGGTCAAGAGATTGAGACCATCCTGGCCAACATGGTAAAACCCTGTCTCTACTGAAAATACAAAAGTTAGCTGGGTGCGGTGGCGTGTGCCTGTAATCCCAGCTACTCAGAAGGCTGAGGCAGGAGAATCGCTTGAACCCGGGAGGTGGAGGTTGCAGTGAGCTGAGATCGCGCCACTGCACTCCAGCCTGGCAACAAAGTGAGACTCCATCTCAAAAAAAAAGAAATTTATTATCTGCTCTTTTACAGAAAATGTTTACTGACTCCTTGTCTAGAGCAGCACTTTCCAACAGAGATTTCCATAGTGATGGAAATGTTTAAATTTGCACTCTTTAATATGGTAACTACTAGCTTATGTGACCATTTTAGTTTAAATTAATAAAAATTAAATAAAATTTAAAATTCAGTTATTTAGTCACACTATCCACATATGGCTGGTGGCTGACATATTTGGACAGAGCTGGACTAGAAATCTAGCATTGTTGTGTTGGTTCGTTCCATAGCACCCCGAACACAACTGTGTTACTGCATTTAACACATTATTTAATGAATTCTTATTTCCTTCATTTTTTTCTAATCTAGATAGGGAATTTTGTGGAGACCTTTATTTTTATTTTACTTGACTTTCAATTGTTAGGTCTATTATAGTACCTGGCAGATGACAGGAGCTCAATAAAAGTTTGTCTAACAGCTCCATCTGATAGTAATGTTTTAGGTATCTATAGTTCTGTTGAGCTGCTTTTTTTCAAAGGGATTTTGAAGGCTTTAGGAATCTACTTAACAGGACTGGATTTGTCAGAATGATCAACAGAATGTTTATTACTTTCTTAACATGACCCATTCTTAGTGCTAGGCATGATTATATTCAGTACCTTATTTGATTCTCACAATTTTGCAAAATAAGTTGTTTATTGTAGCCATCATTGCATAGTTAGTGAAGGTCAGACTCACTATTCTTACATTAAGGTTTCACTCTCCCCTTAGGGATTTTAGATGTAAAATTCTAAAAAAGGAACATTCTTTAAACCAAGTAAAGGATTTCCTAATGCAAAATTTCAATGATCCAGAATAAATGAGAGGGGATGATATTTAGGGTCAGGAAAATAAATTCAGGTTTTCTCAAAATCTTACCCCATAAGTGATTGTCTTCTGTGTGTTTTATTGGTGGGTTCAAAAGGTATTTAAATAATATTATTTATTTATATAGTGAAGGGAAGTATCTTATTTAACCCTCACAATTATCTTGTGAGAATCTACATAGATTTACCTTTTTATGTAGATTTAAAAATTCCGACTCCAAAAGATTGAAAAAGTGACTAAATTGGGATATAAATACCAAATTATCAAACTCAAAATTTATGATTCTTAATGGAAACTTTCTGCTATGGTTTGAGTATGTCCCCCAAATTGTATGTGTTGGAAACTTAATTCCCAAATTCATATGTTGATGTTACGTGGAGGTGGGGTCTTTGGGAGATAATTAGCGTTAGTTAAGGTCATCAGGCAGGGTTTCCCATGATGAAGCTGATGGCTTTATAAGAAGATAAAGACCTGAACTGGCACTTTCTTGGCCTCTTGCCATGTTATGATGTAGCAAGAAGGCCCTCACCAGATGCCGCGACCATGTGCTTGGACTTCCTGGCCTCCAGAACTGTGAGCAAAATCAACCTCTGTTCTTTGTAAATTACCCAGTCTGTGGTATTCCATTATAGCAAAGAAAACAGACTAAGACACTTCCTTAATAAAGATGCTTTAGAATTAGGTGCTCTAAAATGATAACATCTCTCACAACTGAAGTACTGGGACAATTCTGTGCTCAAGGAAATAGTATTTATATCTACTGTACTGACAATGCTGAACCTCCCAGATAGTTCAAGAGGATTCTGAGTGTTTCTTTTTCTGTTGTTTCCCATCTAACCTAATTAAGGCTATATTTAAATAGTATGAAGAACTTAGTAAACCACACATCTGTTCTTATGCTTGCTGTCTGCCTGTTTATCTTACATCTTCCTTGAAGAGGTTTTTAAACAATTTTCAATTTTCAAAGTGTTCTGCAAGTCACATGAAATTTCACTAAAATATTCATCACATAAAGTTTTATGTCCTTTTAACAAATGAGCTAGGTGAAGAGAAAATATATATTGTGATGGTGATATTTATAGCTGTGGTTTGTCTTGAAGATTTTTAAAAATTATATAAGTAATGCATGAAAATATGCTCACTAGGAAAATTTTTTTAAATCAATAAAGATTATATAGATTTTAAAGTAAGAATCTACCTTATACTCCCCAATCTATTTTTCTTCCTAGAGGTAAATATTGTAAATATTGGTATATATCCCTCTGTACTAGATCTTTTTTCTATATATGAATCAGACATCTTTTTTGTATAATGTAATCATCCTATAATCATTTTTCTGACTTGCCTTCATGACTCAATAGTATATTTTTTTTGAAATTGAGTTAGTACATTTCATTAATCTATTACCAGTGTAATGCTGTGTAAGAAAATATCCCAAAGCTTAATGACTTAAAACAATAGCCCTTTTTTACCTTTCATGTGTCTATAGCTTCAGCTGGTAGTTCTTCAAATATAGGTTGATCTTAGTTGTATTTTTTTTTATGCATCTGTTAGTAAGTGGGCTAGGAGCTGGCTGGTCTATAATGGTATCAGCTGGAAAGCTTGGCTTTTCACCATTTACCTCTCACGTCTCTTAAGCAGGCTAGCTCAGGCATGTTATAATTACAGAGGCAGGGATCCAAGAGCTGATGCAGAGGCAATGAGAGTTTTATCAAACCTCTATTTGCATTGAATTTGCCATTACCCTATTGACTGAAGCCCATCACAAGGTCAAGTGCAGAATCAGTGTGGGCATATACTAACAAAGAATGTGAATACCAGGAGCTGTGAAAAATTGGGGTAATGAATATAGCCTACCACAATGCAAAAACAGCATGATTTTGATTCTGCATAGTATTTTACTAAAATTCATTAATCTGACCCCAGTGATAGACGCTGAGGATGCTTCTAGTTTTTACTGTTACAAACATTGCTGCAAGGAATATCCTTTTGCATGTATATTTATATCTACATTTAATTTTTTTTTTTTTTTTTTTTTTTTTTGAGAAGGAGTCTCACTCTGTCGCCCAGGCTGGAGTGCAGTGGCACAATCTCGGATCACTTCAACCTCTGCCTCCCAGGTTCAGGCGATTCTCCTGCCTCAGCCTCCTGAGTAGCTGGGATTACAGGTGTGCGCCACCAAGCCTGGATAATTTTTGTATTTTCAGTAGAGACGGGATTTCACCATGTTGGTCAGGATAGTCTCAAACTCCTGACTTTATGATCTGTTTGCCTCAACCTCCCAAAGAACTGGGATTACAGCCCAAAGTGCTGGGATTACAGGCGTGAGCCACCGTGCCTGACCATTTAATTTTTTTTAAATAGAAATGCATTCCAAGAACACCTTTACTTTTGCTTCTCATTGACAGGAAATGAAAGTGTGTGTAGTAAAAGACTACACTTAAATCAAGAAGAAGGATGCTTCCCTCAAATTAATTGATTTCTGCCATTGGAAGCAACATTTTCTGCCCACAAGTTGAGATGTTGACTTGCTATTGAATCAGCAAAGAGCAAAGCACATGCTTCTTTCAAGTCTCTCTTGTCCCTCTTAGTGGTGGGAAGTGGGGTCCAATAAAGAGAAGTAGAAACCAAGGACTTGAATAGCACATAATGCCAGGGGAATACTGCACTTTATTCTATATCTACCATTTCTTTTTAGCAAGTTGTTGATATCATAACTAGTACCTTGTCTTATGGATTAAATATTTCTCATATGTGATTATTTCCTTCTGGAATCTACAGATAGAAATGGAATCAACTAAAAGCCACATTGACACAGATACAGTCATGAACAATTCTACATATCTTGGTCATGGTCTAGTTCCAAGTACAAGGATCAGTGCAAGCACATATTAGGTGTTTAATACATTTTTGTTAAATAAATGTCAAAAATGTTACCACCTGCACTAGAAGTCCTTTGTAATGGAGACCATTTGATGGGAGAATGTGGGCTGAAATTTGAGATCTGAAACATCTCGTGTTTTTAGCTTCTCAAGGACAGTTGTACATAGCACTAGGATTCTGTTTTGCTTGACTATTCATTTACTGTTCAAGATGCTGGGAATAGTGATTCTCCAGCATTATGAAGTATCATTCAGTCGTAGTGATAAGAGTCTTTGAGGTACAGCATAAAGATCAGCACATTAGAAATGGATTTGTAAAGAGCCCAGGGCCTGGTTTGGGGTCATGTAATTGAAGACAATTTTTCTAAATATAATGAAAACAGCCAAGGCCTAAAAGCTAAGAGTTTAAAAGAAACAGATGTATGCAAGGATGAGAAATGCCAAGCCATTATGTGAAGAAAGTAATTTTTCATTCTCAAATTGCATTTTCTAATAAGTCAAGGTTCAATTTATTTTACTTATAAATGAATAGACACTTTTGTCCTGCCTCCTCTTTGTTTGATTGTAGGAGTTTAGTTCAGAGAATAAGAAAAAAAAAAAAAAACCCGCAGTGCCATTGGTTTCCCTTAGAGGAGAGATGATTATATAATCACCAAATTAAATTAAGAATATAGAAAACATCTTCTTAAACTTGCTCTCTATAAAAAACAGGCACATTTTCATTGTCAATGACAAGAAAAAATGTAGTCTAAAACAAGATAACGTATTAGCAATCATTTTTTACCATCCTGGAAAAATAGCTTTAAAGAATGAAGTCTGATGCTTTCATTAACTATAAATATTACCACTAGGAATATATAAATCAATCGGCTATATTTGTGCTTCCAAGTGGGTAAATACGTTGAATACATAGAAACTCTTTGGTCCTAGAAACTTAGAAGTCGCTAAGAATGGCTTAACCACATTTAGCTGCTGTTTTAGAAAGAAGAAAACAGAAATGTTGCATAATGTCACCTGTATTTCCCCAAGTGACATGAAGGTACATGAGTTAGCATGGGAGGACAAATGGAATCACATTAAAAAATGACAATCTTTAGCTGGAAGTGGTAGCTCACACCTGTAGTCCCTGTACTTTGGGAGGCTGAGGTGGAGAATCTCTTGAGGCCAGAAGTTCAAGGCCAGCCTGGACAATGTAGTGAGACTCTATCTCTACATAAAATAAAATAAAAAATTTTACCTGAATACGATGGCTTGTATTTGTAGTCCCAGCTACTGGGGAGGCTGAGGCAGGAGGATTGCTTCAGCCCAGGAGTTGGAGATGCAGTGAGCTATGATCCTGCCACTGCACTCCAGCCTAGGTGACAGAGTGAGATCCTGTCTCTTGAAAAAAAAAAAGTAAAATGAAGAAACAAAACCAACCTTTCTCCTCACCACCTCCCTATGCAGAGCATCCAGAGCCCTGCCTCTGTTACTTTAGGATGTCTCCAGAAGTGTCTCGAAAGCAAGGCTTTTTCACTCCTCTGCGGTGAGAAAGCTCATTCTGTTCTTCTCTACTACGCCAGTTCTCCCTCGATGCTGAGTCCCAGGATGCTGCTTGGGGCTGCTTCAGTGCAGTCAGAGGTACCAGTGGCCATCAGGAGAATATGTGGGGGTCTATGCTTCCTCTCTTCCCGATGATTGCTTTCCAGCATTGGGAGAAATTCTAAGTAAGCTTTTCCTGAAGTCCTCTGCTGACCATCATCGTGTTCTTGTCCCAGGTTGAAGTGTGAAGACAGTCTCTTTTTCCATTTTGTGACATTTTGCTACCTGGAACCAAAGCAGCACAACTTGTGAGCAGAAGTCTCCCAGGGTTCCAGAGGGGTAGACCTTCAGTTTTGGTCTGACATTCGTTTGTTCCTTCCTCCCTCCCTCCCCCTCCGTCCGTTCCTCCCTCCCGCTCCGTCCGTTCCTCCCTCCCTCCCTCCCTCCCTCCCTCCCTCCCTCCCTCCCTCCCTTCCTTCCTTCCTTCCTTCCTTCCTTCCTTCCTTCCTTCCTTCCTTTCTTTCACAGAGTCTTGCTCTGTTGCTGAGGCTGGAGTGCAGGGGCGTGATCTGGGCTCACTGCAAGCTCCACCTACCGGGTTCACGCCATTCTCCTGCCTCAGCCTTCCAAGTAGCTGGGACTACAGGCACCCGCCACCACGCCCGGCTAATTTTTTTTGTATTTTTTGGTAGAGATGGGGTTTCACCATATTAGCCATGATGGTCTCGATCTCCTGACTTCGTGATCCGCCTGCCTCGGCCTCCCAAAGTGCTGGGATTACAGGCGTGAGCCACCGCGCCTGGCTGGCCTGACGTTCCTTTCTATAGCGCTGAGATAGGCATCTTCAGGGCTAGGCAAGTTGTAACCAGCAGATGGCAAGCCCTCCGCTATACCACTTTCACTGTCTTTCCCTACCTATACCCACCTCCACCCCTTGCCTCACATAGACACACAACTCCTACAAACTCCATCCACCAACAACTCTCCTTCAAGCTGGCTCACGAAATCCACCTTTTTAAAAATATGCTTTTAGAGACAATGTCTGGCTTTGTCTCCCAGGCTGAAGTGCAGTGGCAACATCAGAGCTCACTGTAGCCTCAACCTCCTGGGCTCAAGTGAGCCTCCCACCTCAGCCTCCTGAGTAGCTGGGACTACAGGCATGCACCACCACACCCAGCTAAGGCTTTTTATTTTTTGTAGAGATGGGCTTGCTATGTTTCCCAGGCTGGTCTTGAACTCCTGGCCTCAAGCCATCCTCCCAGCTTACCTTCCCAAAGCACTGGGATTACAGACGTGAGCCACCACAATGGCCAGAAAAATCACTGGCCAGAATGACTTCTGATGTCCTTTTCTAACAGTTCGTGCATCTATGCAGCCGTATATAACTTTCCATGATAGACATAGCTTAGGACTTTGCTTGTTAGACTGTAATGTACAAATAAATCACCCAGGGAATCTTGTTGAAATGCAGAGTATTCATCTGACCTGAGGTGGGACCTAAGATGATTCACGTTAATAAACTGTCAGCTGATGCTGACGTTGCTGGGGGCATGAACCACACTATGAGTAGCAAGGCTGAGAATGCAACTGAGAATTTTGCTCTACCAGTAATTGGCCAGTATGGGGGTGACTCTTGGGTTCTATAGTAATCTGCAGCTGATTCCTTTATCTCTAATGTTCACTCTGGATTTCCTCATGGTTACATGGGTAAGTGAGGAAACAGTAAGGCAGAATCAGAAAAATAACACCTGTTCAGTATTTTGCGTTACTGTGAACAAGGTCAAATACAAATTGTGCACGTCCAATATTTCTGATGAAAGATACTCAGGTTGCCCTAGATTTAACCAAAAATTTTGGAGGGTAAGTTATGGTTGCTGTAAGGAAAGCTTATAGTAAATTAGTCTCCACTTATATGCTTAAGATTTTTATCATTCTTTTCCATTTCGGTGCCAACATTGCCTTACTTTGGAAGTAAGACTGGATAATTTCTGCATAGTGATAACTTTAGCAGCTTATGGAAAGGTTAGGATGCAATCTATAGTTTATATAATTCTAATTATAATACAATAATAACAGTCATGCAGTACAAATTTTACAATTTATTATAAATGTAACATACATTATAGAATGTAACCTTTGTAACAACCCTGTGAAACTAAATAATTTAGGATATGTCTAATAAAATTTTGCAAATGAGGAAACTGAGGCTCAGGGAGATTATTGAATTTGCCCAAAGTTTCAAGGCTAGTAATTGGCAAAGGCAAAATTTAAGGCCAGATTACTTAATCAAAATGAGTACTTTTCCACCTTTTACCACAATAACTTAGAGATTCTATTATTTTCTTATTATGTATTCAAACACTCCTTTGTTGTTTGATGGTTAAATTTTACAGACACACAGCCATGGAAATGAACACATTTCATGAATTTATGATATTATGAATCCACTTCTACATTTTGCTGAACTCTTTTTTTTCTTTCCTCTCCCATCAAATCAAACTGACCATCTCTACACAGAGATACCATGTTAACAACATGATTTTCCTATTTTTTTCATGCTTATATAATCACATAAAATATACATATATGGATATGAATAATAATTAAGTAATATACAGTTTCCTGAGTTTTGCTTTTCTCATTTAATGCAGTTGGAAATCTTTTCAAATTCAATGGTTTACTTCTTATTTATTCTTTTGATTGGCTATATAATATGTCATGGTCGTGTATCCTATAAGTTGTCCAGTATTCTTTTGACAATGGGCATTCAGTGTGTTTGCACTTTCAGTCATTATGAACGGTGTTGCAATTAATATTCTTGTACATATGTCTGGTTGCTATTTTGAAGGAGTACACATTCAATATTCTTAATTTTAATAGTTGTTGATCGATCATTTTCCAAAAGTTTCTAGCAAGCTACATTTCCGTAGGAAGTATATAAGAATATAATCTTATGTTCTCTTATGCTCCATCTGTAAGAGATGATAATTTTTAATTTTTGCCTATGAGGATAGCATATTATATCACAGCAAATTTCATTTGCACTCTTATTGCTACTATAATTGGACATCTTTTTCTAATATATATATTTTTTGTCATTTGGGTAAGATCTGTGCATTGCCTTTTCATTTTTCTTTTCTTTTTTTTTTTTTTTTCTTGAGATGGAGCCTCGTTCTGTTGCCCAGTGGCGCGGGCACAGTCTCAGCTCACTGCAACCTCTGTCTCCTGGGTTCAAGCAATTCTTGCGTCTCAGCCTCCCAAGTAGCCTGGGACTATAGGCAAACGCCACCACGCCTGGCTAATTTTTGTGTTTTTAGTAGAGACAGGGTTCACACCTATAATCCCAGCACATTGGGAGGCCGAGGCCAGAGGATTACCTGAGATCAGGAGTTCATGAATTGCCTTTTCATATCCTTGTGTAGTTTTCTACAGGTTAGTTTATCTCCGCCTTGCCTATTTTTAAAAGCTCATGGCATAATTCATCATATTATATGTTAATCTTTTTTGTTTGCATTGCAATATTATCAGTGTCTCTTGTTTATCTGTTACATTTTGGTACCTAATGTCGTACAATTTTTTGAAACTTTTGTAACTTAAATAAGTTTCTTTTTATACCTACTGGATTTCTCTCTATGGTAAAGACGATCCCCTGAGATTATAAACTGTGTGTGAATTTTATTGTTTTATGTTTTACACTTAAGTGTTTTGTTCTTCTGAAATTTATTGATGTACATGGTGAAATAATGAGTCTGCTTTAATTTTATTCCAGTTGGAAAGCCAGTTGTTTCAATACCATTTGTTGAACTTCACAGTTTTCCACTGAATTAAAATTCCTCCTTTGTTAAACATTAACTTCTTAAATATACTAGATCTGTTCCTGGATTATGATTTATAGATCTTTGTCAAGAACTGTGAAGGATCTGAGATTTTATTCTACTTCTGAGTTAACAAGGTAGCCTGCCACAGATTTTGGATCCTGGAAAAAGATACAAGACTCTTGGGTCAGAGGCAAAGGACAGTATGCAACTCACAGCAATAGCAATAGGAATCATTCCAAAATTTTCTAGATTCCCTGAGCCCTAATTCCTTCAGAGTCATGTGACAAGGGCCAAGTGACACTGCTTTCACTGCATTACTTAAATGTTGATATGTTGTGGAGTTTGTTTTTTTTTCACTTAGTTCAAGAAATTTTCTAATTTGCTTTGTGATTTCTTTGACTTGTGTTATTTAAATATGTATCATTTAATTTCCAAATATTTAGGGGTTTCTCATATTTCTTTCCACTGATTGCTAATTTAGTTCCATTGTGGTCAGAGAATACATTTTGTTTTATTTAAATACTTCAAAGATTCTTGAAACTTGTATTATGGCCTACAATATTGTCTGCAGAATGTATCATATACCCATGAAAATGATGCATATTATATATTTCATCTACTTCAAGTTAATACTGACTTAATTCCAGCAAAAATAGCAATTTGGCATCAGTTTAATTCCATTTATGCAGCTCTTATTTACCTGAGTTATTACCCGGTTTTACTTGTATCCAGGTTTTCATCTGGTGTTGTTTCAGCTTCAGGTACTTTCCTTAACATTTCTTGTAATGCATGTCTGCTGCTGACAAATTTAATTTTCATATATCTAAAAATGTCTTTATTTTTATAGCTTTTTAAACTTTATTTTATTATGATAAAAACACTTAACATTAAATTTGCCATCTTAACCATTTTCAAGTATATAGTTTAGTAGTGTTAAGTATTTTTGTGCAACAGATCTCTACAACTTTCTCAGCTTGCAACACTGAAACTCTATACCATTAGATATAAATACTCTCTCTTTCCTCTAATCAGATTTCTACTTACTGTTTTTATGATTTTTGACCCTTTAGTTATTTCATCTGCATAGAGTAATACAGGATTTGTCCTTTTGTGACTGGCTTATTTCCCTTAGCATAATATCTTCAAAGTTCATCCAAAGTTAGCTATTTTTGTTAAGTTATTGCTGTAATTTTTCAAGGAATATTTGCAGGAGGTTAGAATTCTGGGTTGAGATTTTTCTTCCAGTACTTTAAAGATGTTGTTGTATTGTTTTCTGGCCCTTAATAAGTTTTTTGTTTTTGTTTTTTGGTTATTGTTGCTCCCCTTTTCCAAATGTAATACTCATTTTCCTCTGGTTGATTTTAAGATTTTCTCTCAACTCTTTATTTTCAGCCATTTGGCTGTAATGTGCCTAGATATTTGTTTGTTTGTTTTATTATCCTGCTTGGCATTTGCTATTGTTTTTCCTTTCCATTTCAAGGTTGTAATTTTCACCAAAGTTATGATAATTTCAACTACTATTTCTTTAAAATATTTTTCTTCCTCTCTCTGCTCTTTTTTTAGGCTCTGATTCCAACTGTTAGATGACTTAATATTGTTTCATATATCTATCACTGAAGCTGTGTTCTAATCATTTTTTCAATCTTTCTTTCTCTGTTTTTTAGATTGGAACATTTCTATTTATCTCTCTTCATTTATTGTGCTTTTCTTGGAATCTCAATTCTGCTGTTAAGCCTATTAAGCAAAATTCTAATTTTAACATTGTAATTTTCAGTTCTAAAATTTCCATTTAGTTCACAGTTATAGCTTCCAAATTTCTGTTAACATTTTCTTTCTGTTCATTCATTCAGTAATATTTTTATTTACACTTTTGAACATGTTTATAGTAGGTGTTCTGAAATCTACACTATCACATCTGGGTAATTGTGGGGTTGGTTTTATTGACTTTTTTCTCTTGATATGGGAATTTTGTTTTTGTTTTGCTTTCTTTTTAAAATAATGTCTAGTAATTTTTGTCGTGTAATGTACATTTTAGTTGTTATATTGTAGGCATTCTGAATTTTGTTATATTTCAATGAAAAATCTCAAAATTTGGCTTTTGTCCTACCCAACAATTAATTTAGCTAAACTGTAACTCCTAATTCTGTCACTCCTTTGGTGAACAAGCAATTGAAATTTCCCCTCAATTTCTTGGGCCTCCACTATTTCCTTCACTTGAACCTCTGGAGTATATATAGTTCAGGGATTAACCAAGGATTTGGGTAGAGTTTATAAACAGATTTAGCCCTTCTCCTTTATAGCTGTCCTCATTGGGGATTTTCTCTGTCAGACCTAAACGCCATCCTACGCATTCAGAATGCCCTCATCTATTCAGACTGGGACATACCCTCACAGAAGAAGCTGCAAAAACAAATTTTGCCCAGGGCATTAATTCTCTTACAAGGATGTTTTCCCCTAAGTTATGTAAGCTTCGCTCATTCTCCAATGCCTTAAAAAGGTTGTTTTTATTCATATTTTGTCAAGAGTTTATAAGTATTGTCTATGGGAGATTCGACCACTCTACTATTATAGGTAAACCATAGAGATATTGTGGATTCAGTTCCAGACCACCATAATAAGGTGGATATCATAATTAAGTGAGTTAAAATAATTTTTTGGTTTCCCAGTACCTACAAAAGTTATATTTACACTATATCATAGTCTATTAAGTGCACAATAATATTATGTCTAAAAAATATAAATACCTTAATTAAAAAATACTTTATTGCTAAAAACTGCTAATAATCATCGGAGTCTTCAGTGAATTGTACTCCTTTTGCCGACGGAGGGTCTTGCCTTGATGTTGATGGCTGCTGACTGATCAGGGTGGTGGTTGCTGAAGATTGGAGTGGCTCTGGAAATTTCTTAAGACAACATTGAGGTTCACCACATTGATTGATTCTTCACTTTATGAAAGATTTATCTATAGCGTGTAATGTTGTCTCATAGCATTTTACCCACAGGAGAACGTCCTTTAAAATTGGAGTCAATCTTCTCATACCATGCCATTGCTTTATCAACTAAGTTGATGTAATACTCTAAACCCTTTGTTGTCATTTCAATAATGTTCACAGCATCTTCACTAGGAGTAGATTCCATCTCAAGAAACTACTTTCTTTGCTTATTCGTAAGGGGCAACTACTCATTCGTTGAAGTTTTGTCATGAGATTGCAGCAATTCAGTCAGATTTTCAGTCTCTATTTCCAATTTTAGTTCTCTCGTATTTTGACCACATCTGCAGTTGTTTCCTCCACTGAAGTCTTGAACTCCTCAAAGTCATCCATGAGATTTAGAATAAACTTTTTCCAAACTCTTGTTAATGTTGATATTTTTACCTTCCATGAATCATGAATGTTGTTAATGGCATCTAGACTGGTGTATCCTTTGCATAAGGTTTTCAACTTTCTTTTCCCAGATTCATCAGAGGAATCAATTTTTATGGCAGCTATAGCCTTTATGAAATAGATTTCTTAAATAATAATTGATGAAAGTCAGAATTACTTTTTGATCCATGAGCTGCAGGATGGATGTTGTGTTAACAGCATAAAATGAAGATTAATCTCCATATGTATCTCCATCAGAGTTATTGGATGACTAGGTGCATTGCCAATGAGCATTCATATTTTGAAAGGAATCTTTGTTTTCTGAGCAGTAGGTCTCAACAGTGGGCTTTCCATAGTCAGTAAATCATGCTATAAACAGATGGACTATCATCCAGGCTTTGTTATTCAATTTCTAGGGCACAAGTAGAGTAGATTTAGCAACATTCTTCAGGGCCTTAGGATTTTTGGAATGGCAAGTGAGCATTATCTTCAGCTTAAAGTCATCAGCTCCATTAGCCCCTAACAGGAGAGTCAGCCTGTCCTTTGAAGCTTTGAAGCCAGGCATTGACTTCTCCTTTCTAGGTGTGCAAGTCCTAGATGACATCTTCTTCTAATAGAAGGCTGTATTCATCTCCATTGAAAATATGTTGTTTAGTATATCCATTTTCATCAATAATCTTAGCTAGATCTTCTTGATAACTTGCTGCAGCTTCTTCATCAGCACTTGGTGCTTCACCTTACATTTCTATGTTACAGAGATGGCTTCTTTTATTCAACTATGAACCAACCTCTGCTAGCTTTGAACTTTTCTTCTGCAGCTTCCTCAACTTTCTCAGCCTTCATTATGGCCTTGCTCTGGATTAGCCTCTGGCTTAAGGGAATGTTGTGACTGGTTTGATCTATCCAGACCACTAAAATGTCCTCTATATCTGCAACAAGGCTGTTTCACTTTTTTATTATTTGTGTGTTTACTGGAGTAACACTTTTAATTTCCTTCAAGAGCCTTTCCTTTGCATTCACAGCTTGGTTAGCTGGCTCAAGAAGCCTAGCTTTCATCCAAGGTTGGCTTTTGATATGCCTTCTTCACTAAGCTTAATAATTTCTAGATTTGATTTTAAAGTGAGAGAAGTGTAACTTTGCCTTTCATTTGCATGCTTAGCACCACAGGAGGGTTATTAAGTGTCCTAGTTTCACTATTGTTGACCTCAGAAAAAAGGGAGGCCCAAGAAGAGGACAGAGGCAGTGGAATGGCTGGTTGGTGAAACAGTCAGAACACACACAACAGTTATCAATTAAGCAAGGATCATTTGAGTCCAGGATGTTGAGGCTGCAATGACCTGTGATCATGCCACTGTGCTCCAGCCCAGGAGACAGAGCAAGACTCTATCGCATACACACAAAAAAAGTTTTCCATATTATATAGGCATGGCTGTTCCCCCAAAATATTACAATAGTAATATCAAAGATATTCCAGGAGTTTGAGACCAGCCTGAGCAACCCCATCTCTATAATTTTTTTTTTTTTTTTTTACCTGGGCCTGGTGGTTTGTGCCTGTAGTTCTAGCCACTCAGGAGACTGAGGTGGGAGGATCACTTGAGCCCAGGAATTTGAGGTTGTAGTGAGCAACCTCTGTATCAAACTCCGTATCTCACTGTATCAAAATAAATACATAAATAAAAATAAATAAATAAAAAGGTCACTGATCACAGATCATCATAATAGATATAATAATAAGGAAAAGTTTGAACTATTATGAGAATTACCAAAATGTGACACAGAGATATGAAGTAATCACACGCTGCTTGAAAAATGGTGCTAATAGACTTGCTCAACAGAGGTTTGCTGCAAACCTTCAATTTGTAAAAAAACACAATATCCACAAAGCACAGTAAAGCAAATTGTAATAAAACAACATATGCCTGTATTGAAATAAGAATCTGTCCACAATTCTGATAAGCTAAAACAACCATCAATTATGGAATTTCTGTTAACAATCTCTTGGGAAGGAAAAGTCAAGAAGGAAGTCAATGATTTTTAATGAATAATTAAAATGAAGTCAATGATTAATGAATAATCAAACAATAAATGTTTTCTAGCTAGTTGCCAAAGTAATTTCTTCTGAACACATAATAGTTGTTCAAAAAAGGCTGATAAACTAATTCATAGAAATGTTGACCCTTGTGTGTATACTTTATCAATGTAGCCATTATATGGCTTTCATAAGCTTGTATGGCTTACATTTATATGTAAAGCTTTACATTTATATGTATGTTTATATGAAAGTTTATTGATCAATAAAAAATGGCATGCACAGCAACCTGGGTGTAATCAGAGGCTATTGTTCTAAGTGAAGTAACTCAAGAATGGAAAACCAAACTTTGTATGTTCTTCCTCACATGTGGTAGCCAAGCTATGAGGATGCAATTGAATACATAAGCAAAAGCATAGAATGATAGGTTGGACTTTGGGGACTGGGAGAAAGGGTAGGGGGGTGTTGAGGGATAAAAGACTACACGTTAGGTACAGTGTACACTGCTCAGGTGATGGGTGCACCAGAATCTCAGAAATCACCACTAAAGAACTTATTCATGTAATGAAACACCACTTGTTCTGCAAAAACCTATTGAAATTAAAAAAAGTTAAAGTTAAAAAATGTGCATAAAAGAAGTGTCAAGGGAATCATATCCTATGGCAGCTCAGGATTAGCTGTGTATAAATGTTTTGGTTTGTTTTATAAAAAATTATTTACTTACTTGTATGAAACCTGGCTATGAGTATGGGTTAAAAGTTACTGAAAACATTGGTTAAAATGACCAGATATTTCCTTTCCTTTGTCACTGAAGCCAGTTAAAGTTTGGCAACATTGGAGACCCAGGATGAGTTCAGGGTGACATTTTGTTCTCCTTTAAATCACAATTTTTCCCTCTTTGCCTTTCCTGCCAAAAAGCCTGTAATTTTTGTACAATAAGTTTTATAATAGATATTTGTTTAAAAAGTAGGCTGAGCCAAGTAAAGAGTCATTATATACTTTTCTTCTTAAATGGAAAATATGCTTTCATATGATTTTGAAAAGACGCAAGAATAGCAATGTTTTAGGCATATCTGGTACTGGCTTTGTGTAGGAAATGATAATAGTCAATTATTACCATTTTTAATAAGAGCATTGCATTTTCCTTTCTGAAGTGCTCTAAAGTGACTAGTTTTGCATATAAAACTGTGAATATCTTGGGGACAGAGCTGCATCACATTTCTTTGTACTCTGTGTCTAGCACAATACCTGGTACACAGTAAAAAGACAAGAAATATTTGTTTTCCAAATAGTTTTTTTTTTACTACAAATATATTTTTTAAGAAGTGAGACATAGATTATTGGATTTTCATCATTTCCATCACTTTACACATTGTGTTAATGATCTATAGTTTTAATATAAAAACTTCAATGTCAGATAAATTTCCTTTCTATTTTAAAGTATAATCTATATCTCAGGCAAGTAAAAATTCTATTCTTCATGTAAAGTATTATTTTGGAAAACAAATTCTGAAGTAAAGTTTTTTTTTGCTTGAGAAATGAGTGTTACATTTTCACAATTTAGAATTTTAAACATAGCTTAGGGTGACCATTGTTTAAGGGGAAAATGATTAGACTTTGAGATTCTTAAGGTGAGGGCAGTGTATTGTTCTGGCTGCCTTTATATTTGGAATTCCTAGCATATAGTAGGAAATCAATAAATATTGAATTCAATCAGTAAAGAGTGAATGCTACATTTATTAAAATATGTTAAGATAATAAATGTGATTCTAATGTTTCTTAGCAAATCAACTGCCAGTCAGAAAAATTCATAGGTTAACAGCAATCCATTCAGTGTTTTCTACATTTCATTGGAATTTTCCAACGTGGCATTAACTTTCAGTGATCTACCGAAATACATTCACTTTTTTCCTACTTTCATGATGGTATTTTATTACATGTATATTTGCATGTTTAGATTTTCTGTTTTGTTTACTGATCCTGACAGCCGTTAAGCAGCTTGAGGAGCTGAACATTCTGTATTTATTCTGACTGATGATGATTCTGTTTGAAGGTCCGCTCATCATTGAATAGTCACTCAAGATTCATTTGAAAAAAAGACTCACCCAGTAGTCATTGTCTTCATTCACTTAATAGATGGAGGACTGTAATTTATGAAAAGGAAGATAACTTGTGTGGAGCATAGCATACTGTACAATTGCCTTTTATTCCAGACTTGACTTATTTTTTTGACCTTGCATTCCTCTGTTTATATTCAGGCAGCTTCCATAAAATAATTACAGTAAGACTAATCTATAATTGTAACAGGCAGTTGGTATTTTTCTGCATTCTTTCACATGTACAAATTACCCAGCTAAATTGAAAATAAAATAGGTGGATCTATTTCATACTAGTATTATCCAGTCGGGAGTCTCCATTTTGAGAAAAGGCACTACTCTGGATATATTGAGTAGAGAGGGATCTAACGTTGAGATCATTACAATAGGCTGATCGGGCTGGAGAGAGAAATGGGATCGTGAGTGTTACTCTCCCTCTGCTTGGGCTCAAAATCCCCTGCTCTCACAGCTAAGTTACTGGGAACTCCAAGGCTGTTTTGGAACCACTTCACTCTTTTTTTCTTTCTTTCTTTCTTTCTTTTTTTTTTTTTTGAGACAGGGTCTTGCTCTGTCACCCAGGCTGGAGTGCAATGGCACGATCTTAGCTCACTGCAACCTCCACCTCCCAGGTTCAAGCAATTCTTCTGCCTCAGACTCCCGTGTAGCTGGGACTACAGGTGAGTGCCACCATGCCCAGCTAATTTTTGTATTTTTAGTAGAGACGGGGTTTCACCATGTTGGCCTGGCTGGTCTTGAACTCCTGACCTCAAATGATCTGCCCTCCTTGACCTCCCAAAGTACTGATATTACAGGCATGAGCCACTGTGCCCAGCCCCACTTTACTCTTTATTTTGGATTTGGAGATAGATATTTGTTCATAGGACAATAACAATGAACTCTAATGAGTTATTGAGTATAAAATGTTGTTAATAAAAACACTTCCATGAGGGTCCATTGATATAATATTATGATGGCCCCACTAGATTCTGAATTCCTAAAAGGAAGGTACCTATATTTATTCAGTGTTCTTTATGGAACTGAATTATGGAATCGATAGTTTGTGACTTCAGAAAAGATTTCCAAGAGAGAAAAAAGCTAGGGAATAAAAAATGTAGCAGTCTTTTCACTCAATAATCTCGGAAAGCAGATTCATTTTTAGAGCTTTTATCTGCTTTTACAGACTTTAGGTACCATTTGTTGGGACTGGTGGGGTTGGGATGTGTCTGCTTATGCATACAGGAAAGGATAATGTTGTACTAGGCATAATATTCTAGGTTATGTGAAATTTATATTTGCTTTTTGTATTACATATTGGAACGTGGACGTATAATCATTGTCTAAGTTTCAGAGATTTCGTTGCCACTTGTTCAATGAAAATGTAAACAGTTGTGTCTACCACTCAATTTGCTTCAGAATTTGGAAAAGATGTTAAACATAAGAGTAAAGCAAAATAAGTGATTTTTATTTTAAATACAATCAGGACAAATTTGAGCTGATTCTTTAAATTAGCTCTATCTCCAGGAATTAAAAATCTTATTTCTAAACTGGATATTCTAAGAATGGTACACATCATTTTCACATGTACACTAAATATTATTAGTTCAGCGTCACTCTCAGTTTTATATTAAAAGTTGCTTGTCACCCTATTTTTAGAAAACTCTTTCCTTATATTCTTACAGTTTAGAGTAAATGGATGTGAAAAACTCCACAAAAATCACTAGACAGAAATCTAAACACGTGAGTACTTATGCACATAACATTTATACAGAAATATCAAGTATGTTTTTGAGCATGTGGTCTTAGTAAGCATGTTAATGTTTCACAGAAGAGTTTAGTGGGAATAAAATTATGAATCTATTATTTAAATGAGGTAAAGGATTATATGGTTCTTTATGCAGAAAATATATCTCGTTTCTCTTGCTTTATTATCTCATTTGGTTTTAGATGAAGGATGTCAGATTGTATAATGAGGAAACCAGTTCTCATTTTCACCAAGACTGCCCAAATTTAATACGTGTGCTTCAAGCTTCAGTATCCTTCTAAGTAATAGGCTGCTATGTGTCTTACTTTTTTGTTTGTCAAATGGGGGCAAGGGCATTGTGAAACTTATAATTTCGTTCTGCTCAACTGACTGTAATAATATTAATTGAAATGGCTACAATTTACTGTGATATTAAAAGTTGGAATTTTCTACTGTTTCTAATATGCTTTTAAAGATATTTTCAGAGTTATTGGAATTATTAGAGGTAGCAACCAAAGATACTTTCACAGACTACTTCTAACAAATTAGCAAATTCTATTCATAATCAAGACATAAATAGCATAATAAAATGTATAGCTAGGTCTAGGCCTATAAAGGGTTTTTTTTCCTCCAAAACATCAGTTCAAAATAAATCATTCAATACCTATACTCTAAATGTCTTTGTAGGTTATTCTGTATCTGCATGGAATGTACACCAGTAAAAAGGATAACTTAAGGATAATACAGAATTTATATTTTACTTATTTCCTTCTCAATTAGTATACATACACATATGCATACACACAGACCACTTGAGCTACCTTGATGGCTAGCCCACACTTTTACCTAAATGAGAAATAGAGTAAGTAGTGAAGTAAAGAGGAAAAAATACGAGGGCTAGATTTGTCCAACTTACACTTTCTAGCAATAAAAAAACAGCAGGAGAGCTTCAAATAGTTCTGAAGAGAAGTAGAATGGCAATTTCTTTATTTAACAACATGTTGACATAAAGATTTAAAAATGTATATTTATTAGAAAGAAGGGCAAAATTTGATTCTTCCTGTTTAATAAAATAAGGTCACCATTTATCTGGACATGCACACGGGAAACAAAATGGCTGCAGAAAAGAATGACTTTGAGATCAGACCCATCAAATAAGATTACTTAATTGTCTGCTGCCATACTAGACACTCAGAAAAGCAAAATAAGATAAATAATTTCATTGTGAGGGTAAGAAATTCTATTAAATTGTAAAATGTTGTGTACTTGGGTAGCGTGGGGTGGATATAATTAGGAATCATGTCTTTACTTGGCGGATCAGCCTATTAGGCTGGGTAGCAGGTAGGTAGCTTCAGAAAAGGCAAGCTAAAGAAAAGACTCAGAGGTAGAAATGAGTGTTAGGGCTGTCCTAGGAACTAGGAACAAGGGCCTAATGACACCCAAGACTTCTGCGTTTATTTTTACCTGATTTATCTGAAAGGTTCAGTCCCAGAGATAAAAAATTGAATGATGAGGCTGGGCTTGATTCACATACTGATAAAGGAGACAGACTGTCCTCTGGAAACTGATTGTGCAAAATTATCAGAACCTTGGCACTGATAAGGCAAGGGAAGAATGCTGAAACCAGCAAGATTGGTGACATTTATGAAGGCACATTTATGCAATGGGAAAACATTCATGTATTTATAAAGGTCCCTTGTTATTGACTAATCAATCTATATGCTGTAGTGAACTCTGAAGAAAAACATAAAAAGATAGTTTAATACTGACAAAGATAGATATTTCCTATTGTTTTTTTTACAACGAGGAAAATCCACAGATTTCCCCCCACCCCTCCACGCCTGCTAGAGGTTAGCAGACATGGGACCTGCTCCTTTTTTTCAGTGTTGCAATTTTCCCCAATATTTCCTCCTCCTGAGTCTTCTGCCTTGAGCCCAGGTTTCCTTAAATATAAAGCGGAAGTGCTTCTATATAACTGAACCCAGTTTTTTGATTTCCTGTGGTAAGTCTGTTTTAAAATGACTGTCATACAATGGATTTTGCTGTTTCTATGTCTTGTGTATTTGGTTGAAACCCTAACTAGTTCTTTTAATTTCTTCCTTTCAAACACGTCTGATGCAAATGAATAAAAGTTAAAACCCAGTGATCTCAAGATGGGAGTTGGGTGGGAGAGGGTAAATTATTTGAAATCAACAGGAAACCTCATTCTCGATGTCCTGAGGTTAATGTTCACATCTGTTAAGTAGCTGAATATGTCTTGAGCAAGTCACTTGGTCTCTGTAGGCATTGGTGTTTTCATCTGAGAAGGTGGGATGATTACAACTTTGAAAGTTGCTTTACATTTCAATGACTGCATCAGGACATAATATGTCCTATTTAAAGGCTATGGTAGCTTTTTACCAGTGTTTTCACATAAATGACTGACGCTTGGCATAGTGCTGTGTGAGTAGCAAGCATTCACTGTACAATGAACAAATGGGATGGATTTTTCTGACATTATTGATTCCAGTTGGAAAGTCATATGATATATATTGCCATCTTTAAAAATTAATAGCACCCCTGTCCATACCTAATACATTTTCATAATCTTCCCTATTTATTTTCTTCCTCAAACTTTCAATACTTTATTGTATTACTGATATCAGGAAATTTGAAAAAAAGTGGGAAAATAAAATAAAAATCTCATTTTCAGTCTGCTAATTTTATAGTAGATCTATTAAGTAAAACTAATCATAGCTAAAAGTATTTTCACCACAGTTCTCAAATTTCTCATTCAGCTATAACCAGAGAAGCTAAAGTGTAAAAATTAACAGAGATTGTTGAAAGGAGTCATATGCTAGTGAAAATAGGAAATTTTAATAGAAATTTTTTTACAAACTTTACTCCGGTGATTGTTATAATTGGAGATACTGAATTGAAAATGTGACCAAGATGTTCAATGACAGGCATTTGGACAGCTTCTGGAATAAAAATATCCAGGCACTTTGTAATTTTAGATTTTTTTGAAAGTTTAATCTCTTTTGTCATTTGCTCCCGATCACATTTATTTCTTTATACACATTTATTTCTATAAACTATGCATTTACATTTGTATGAGCAATGTGGCATTAAAATTATATTTGGAGTGATCAAAGAGTTTCAAATTTTCATGAATTAGTAAAATTAATAAAAAGTAGATTATTTTTAATTTTAATAAATTTCAACATCAATTTTTTTCATGAACCATGTTTTTGTTATTCTATCTAAAAAGTCATCACCAGTTAATTTTTTTAAGCATCACATTTATTAAAATATATTTTAGTTTTTGTTTTGTTTTGCATCTTGTTTTTTTATTATTATACTTTAAGTTCTAGGATACCTGTGCAGAACGTGCAAGTTTGTTATATAGGTATACATGTGCCATGGTGGTTTGCTGCACCCATCAACTTGTCATCTACATTAGGTATTTCTCCTAGTGCTATCCCTCCCCTTGCCCTCCACCCCCTGACAGGCCCTGGTGTGTGACGTTCCCCTCCCTGTGTCCATGTGTTATCATTGTTCAACTTCCACTTATGAATGAGAACATGTGGTTGTTTGGTTTACTGTTTCCTGTGTTAGTTTGCTGAGAATGATGGTTTCCAGCTTCATCTGTGTCCCTCCAAAAGACATGAATTCATTCTTTTTTATGGCTGCAGAGTATTCCATGGTGTATATGTGCCGCATTTTATTTAACCAGTCTAACATTGATGGTCATTTGGGTTGGTTCCAAGTCTTTGCTATTGTGAATAGTGTTGCAATAAACATACGTGTGCATGTGTCTTTATAATAGAATGATTTATAATCCTTTGGGTCTATACCCAGTAATGGGATTGCTGGGTCAAATGGTATTTCTAGTTGTAGATCCTGGAGGAATCCCCACACTGTCTTCCACAATGGTTGAACTAATTTACACTCCCATAAACAGTGTAAAGGCGTTCCTATTTCTTCACATCCGCTCCAGCATCTGTTATTTCCTGTCTTTTTAATGATCACCCTTGTAACTGGCGTGAGATGGCATCTCATTATGGTTTTGATTTGCATTTCTCTGATGGCCAGTGATGATGAGCATTTTTTCATGTGTTTGTTGGCCAGATAAATGTCTTCCTTTGGAAACTGTTTGTTCATATCCTTTGCCCACTTTTTGATGGGGTTGCTTTTTTCCTGTAAATTTAAGTTCCTTGTAGATTCTGGATATTAGTCCTTTGTCAGATGGATAGATTGCAAAAATTATCTCCCATTCTGTAGGGTGCCTATTCACTCTGATGATGGTTCCTTTTGCTGTGCAGAAGGTCTTTAGTTTAATTAAATCTTATTTGTCAATTTTGGATTTTGTTGCAATTACTTTTGGTGTTTTAGTTATGAAGTCTTTGCCCATGCCTATGTCCTGAATGGTATTGCCTAGGTTTTCTTCCAGGGTTTTTATGGTTTTAGGTCTTACATTTAAGTCTTTAATCCATCTTGACTTAATTTTTGTATAAGGTGTAAGGAAGGGGTCCAATTTCAGTTTTCTGCCTATGGCTAGCTGGTTTTCCCAACACCATTTATTAAATAGGGAATCCTTTCTCCATTGCTTGTGTTTGTCAAGTTTGTCAAAGAATAGATGGTTGTAGATGTGTGGTGTGATTTCTGAGGCCTCTGTGCTGTTCCATTGGTCTATATATCTGTTTTGGTACCAGTAGCATGCTGTTTTGGTTACTGTAGCCTTGTAGCATAGTTTGAAGTCAGGCAGCATGATGCCTCCAGCTTTGTTCTTTTTGCTTAGGATTGTCTTGTCTATACAAGCTCTTTTTTGGTTTCATATGAAATTTAAAAGAAAGTCAATGGTAGCTTGATGGGAATAGCATTGAACCTATAAATTACTTTGGGCAGTATGGCCATTTTCACGATACTGATTCTTCCTGTCCATGAGCATGGAATGTTTTCCCATCTGTTTGTGTCCTCTCTTGTTTCCTTGAGGAGTGGTTTGTAGTTCTCCTTGAAGAGGTCCTTCATATCCCTTGTAAGTTGGATTCCTAAGTATTTTATTCTCTTTGTAGCAATTGTGAATGGGAGTTTGCTCATGATTTGGCTCTCTGTTTGTCTATTACTGGTGTATAGGAATGCTTGTGATTTTTGCACATTGATTTTGTATCCTGAGACTTTGTTGAAGTTGCTTATCAGATTAAGGAATTTTTGGCTGAAATGATGGGGTTTTCTAGATACACAATCTTGTCATCTGCAAATAGAGATAATTTGACTTTCTCTCTTTCTATTTGAATACGCTTTATTTCTTTCTCTTGCATGATTGCCCTGGCCACAACTTCCAATACTATGTTGAATAGGAGTGGTGAGAGAGGGCATCCTTGTCTTTTGCCAGTTTTCAAAGGGAATGCTTCCAGCTTTTGCCCATTCAGTATGATATTGGCCATGGGTTTGTCATAAATAGCTCTTATTATTTTGAGATATGTTGCATCCATACCTACCTTATTGAGTGTTTTTTAGCATGAAGGGGTGTTGAATTTTATTGAAGCCCTTTTCTGCATCTATTGAGATAATCATGTGGTTTTTGTCATTGGTTCTGTTTATGTGATGGATTATGTTTATTGATTTGCATATGATGAGCCAGCCTTGCATCCCAGGGATGAAGCCGACTTGGTCGTGGTGGACAAGCGTTTTGATTAAGTGCTGGATTTGGTTTAGCAGTATTTTATTGAGGATTTTCGCATCAATATTCTTCAGAGATATTGGCCTGAAATTTTCTTTTTTTGTTGTTGTGTCTCTGCTAGGTTTTGGTATCAGAATGATGCTGGCCTCATAAAATGAATTATGGAGGATTCCCTCTCTTTCTATTGTTTGGAATAGTTTCAGAAGGAATGGTACCAGCTCCTGTTTATATCTCTGGTAGAATTCGGCTGTGAATCCATCTGGTCCTGGGCTTTTTTGGTTGGTAGGCTATTAATTACTGCCTCAATTTCAGAACTTATTATTGGTCTATTCAGGGATTTGACTTCTTCCTGGTTTAGTCTTGGGAGGGTGTATGTGTCCATGAATTTATAAATTTCTTCTAGATTTTCTAGTTTAATTGTGTAGGGGTGTTTATAGTATTCTCTGATGGTCATTTGTATTTTTGTGGGATCAGTGGTAATACCCCTTTATCATTTTTTATTGTATCTATTTGATTCTTCTATCTTTTCTTCTTTATAGTCTGGCTAGCGGTCTATCTATTTTGTTAACCTTTTAAAAAAAACTAGCTCCTGGATTTACTGATTTTTCGAAGTGTTTTTCGTGTCCCTGTCTCCTTCAGTTCTGCTCTGATCTTAGTTATTTCTTATCTTCTGCTAGGTTTTGAATTTGTTTGCTCTTGTTTCTCTAGTGCTTTTAATAGTAATGTTAGGGCGTCGATTTTAGATCTTTCCCTGGGCATTTAGTGCTATAAATTTCCCTCTAAACACTGCTTTAGCTGTGTCCCAGAGATTCTGGTACGTTGTGTCTTTGTTCTCATTGGTTTTAAAGAACTTATTCATTTCTGCCTTCATTTTGTTATTTACCCAGTAGTCATTCAGGAGCAGGTTGTTCAGTTTCCATGTAGTTGTGCGGTTTTGAGTGAGTTTGTTAATCCTGAAGTCTAATTTGATTGCACTGTGGTCTGAGAAACTGTTTGTTATGATTTCTTTTCTTTTGCTTGTGCTGAGGAGTGTTTTACTTGCAATTATGTGGTCGATTTTAGAATAAGTGCTATGTGGTACTGAGAAGAATGTATATTCCGTTGATTTGGGATGGAGTGTTCTATAGATGTCTATTAGGTCTGCTTGGTGCAGAGCTGAGTTCAAGTCCTGAATATTCTTGTTAATTTTCTGTCTTATTGCTTTATCTAATATTGACAGTGGGGTGTTAAAGTCTCCCACTATTATTGTGTGGGAGTCTAAATCTCTTTGTATGTCTCTCAAAACTTGCTTTATGAATCTGGGTGCTCCTGTATTTGGTGCATATATATTTAGGATAGTTAGCTCTTCTTGTTGCATTGATCCCTTTACCATTATGTGATGACCTTCTTTGTCTTTTTTGATCTTTGTGGGTTTAAAGTTTAAAGTCTGTTTTATCAGAGAGTAGGATTGCAACCCCTGCTTTTTTTTTTTTTTTTTTTTGCTTTCCATTTGCTTAGTAAATCTTTCTTTATCCCTTTATTTTTAGCCTGTGTCTTTGCATGTGAAACAAGTCTCCTGAATACAGCACATCGATGGGTCTTTACTCTTTATCCAATTGGCCAGTCTGTGCCTTTTACATTTAAGGTTAATATTGTTATGTGTGAATTTGATCCTGTCATCATGATGCTAGCTGGTTATTTTGCCCATTAGTTGATGCAGTTTCTTCATAATGTCGATGGTCTTTACATTTTGGTTTGTTTTTGCAGTGGCTGGTACCAGTTTTTCTTATCCATATTTAGTGCTTCCTTTAGGAGCTCTTGTAAGGGAGGGCTGGTGGTGATGAAATCCCTCAACATTTGCTTTTCTGTAAAGGATTTTATTTCTCCTTCACTTGTGAAGCTTAGTTTGGCTGTATATGAAATTCTGGGTTGAAAATTCTTTTCTTTAAGAATGTTGAATGTTGGCCCCCACTCCCTTCTGGCTTGTAGGGTTTCTGCAGAGAGATCCGCTGTTAGTCTGATGGGCTTCCCTTTGAGGGTAACCTGACATTTCTCTCTGACTGCCCTTAACATTTTTTCCTTTATTTCAACCTTGGTGAATCTGACGATTATGTGTCTTGGGGTTGCTCTTCTCGAGGAGTATTTTTGTCGTATTCTCTGTATTTCCTCAATTTGGATGTTAGCCTGTCTTGCTAGGTAGGGGAAGTTCTCTTGGATAATATCCTGGAGTGTGTTTTCCAACTTGGTTCCATTCTTCCCGTCACATTCAGGTACACCAATCAAACGTAGGTTTGGTCTTTTCCCATAGTCCCATATTTCTTAGAGGCTTTGTTCATTCCTTTTCTTTCTTTTTTCTCTAATCTTGTCTTCACACTTTATTTCATTAAATTGATCTGAGGTCAATAGGCTTTTAGCCTAAGCTTTTATATTTATCTAGCTAGAAGTTGAGCTGTGTCTACTGTTTGCTGTAGTTGTAGGTCGGAGAAAGTAAAATTTCCTCTGTTGTCTTTATTATTGTGTCCTTTTTTGTCTTTGGGTTTCCCTAGAAACTGCTTCTTAAATAGGATTTGAGGTTTCCAGTTCTTTTAGCTATAATCTCAGTTATCATACAGGAACCTGATTGATGTGTTGGCAAGGTGTGGGGGCAGAAAGAACATTCTATAATTCTACGATTAGGTCTCAGTCTTTTGGTAAGCCTGTTTCTCTATGCTGTGACCTTCACAAGTGCTTCTCAGCCTTCTACACGTCTTCCCCTTTTAGGAGAGTTAGGAAGAGTAGAAGGGGCTGGGGTTGGGAGTTTTCCATTGCTGACCTTGACAGATAGAGGGGGCTGGAGTTGGGAATTTCTGGTGAAAGCCATATTGATTAGAGTCTAATCAATGTGGGGGAGAAGGTAGAACCAGAAAAGAGAAAAGGTCCCATTTATTATCCTGTTCCATAATCATACACCAACACTGACTAAGACCTGGTAATTTCTCCTGCTAAATATTTTTAAATATTTTACACCAGTACATACTATTTCTTCCATTCTAGTTGGAATCAGCAAGATCTCTACCTGTTTCTTGTAATAATCTCTTTTTGAAAAATTAATTATTTTCATTTATTTTCAGAATTAAAGAGTTTTAAGGAGCTGTCAACTTCTTCACCTGAACTCTTAAAATTAATCTTTGTTTTCTGGAAGTTTACTTTGGGTAGGGAAATTCTGACATGGAATATGATCAAGATTAAGCCACCATGAAAGTACAGAAGAACTGAAAGCATTGCATTTTAATTCAATGTATACAGAAGCTTAATTTAGTTGATGCTACAATTTGCAGGTCATATTATATAACAGCCTTTTGGGCCATGAAAGATCCTTTTGGACAATAGAAATGAAGTATTTGGTCCTTTATTGCCAATGGAGGTATATATCATTCATTTGGTTATGAACATTTTACCTTCCCGTAACTTCTTTGCAATAGTTTCCTCATGTGTCTTTTCACATCATCTCTTGTTCTTCCCCAGTCCAGAACACACAGTCACAGAGATCATTTAAAAAGCAGCCTGTATCCTGGAGTGTCTTCCTGTTGATGTTAGTATATAGACAGAAATCATTAAAGCATCACACACGTGCTGCATGAACTGGCTCCTGTCTCTTCTCCAGCCTGGTGTTGAGAGGTCCATGTTCTCCTTGGCAAACTACGGGCCCACTTGCATCTGTTTTGCTGCACACCTTTCCATAGGCTGCTCCTAGCCCATTGGTCTGGTGAGCTCTTACAAATCCTTTAGTGTATTTGGGAAACGTTACCCTAACTTTACCTACACCTCAATGGTCTTCTTCCCACATGAGAATAAGTCTGTGTTATCAATTTTTTATATGTTCCTCTATCCATAGAATATATAATATACTTTATAGAACTCTACTTACTTATATGATGTCTATTACCTCTAGTTTGTCACTTTCATGAGGGCAAAGGTACTGTCTGTTACCACTGTGTCTCCAGTGCCAAGTCTGTGAGAGAACACAGTATACATTTATTTAAAGAATGACACTATAAATAAATTATAAGAGCAATGCTACAAGGAATATTTGCATTGCATAGGCTCGAAGTTTTTAAGCTAAAAGGCAGACTTAGGCAACAGACATTTTAAAAATAATTGAGGTGAAATTCACATAACATACAATTAGCCATTTAAATTGTACAATTCTAGGGCAATTGTATACTTTAAATTCCAATTGTACACTTCAAATTCCATTTAAAGTGTACAATTTCAGGGACTGCACTCACAATGTTGTGCAACCACCATCACTGTCTAGTTCCAAAATTATTTCATCACCTCCCAAGAACACCTCATACCCATTATGTTATTCTTTTTTTTTTCCATTATGTTATTCTTACCCATTATCCCCTTTGACCCATAATATGACAACCACTGATCTGCTTTCTTTTTCTATAGATGTGCCTGTTTTGGATATTTCATATAATAAGATTCATGCAATATATGTCTTTTGCATCTGGCTTCATTTACTTAGTATAATGTTTTTGAGGATCAGACAACTTGTAATATGTTTCAATGCTTCATTTCTTTTTATTGCCAAATAGTATTCCATTGTGTGTGTGTTCTGTATACATATATGTAATAATCAAGGACCTGGGAACTCCAACAAGGGAGCAAATTAGAGAAGTGAACCCAAACTACACAGAATTTAAATTCCCTCAAATTAAGACACATCCTTGGACTATAGTCTTCTGACCCTGAACTCCACTGGAAGCAATTGCACTGTGTAGCCGTCTGCTGGAGTATACATCAACTCTCGACTGGCACCACTGGAAGTTTGTGCACATTCGTTTTTTCATGAATTACAGGATCCAAATGTCAAACTACCAAATGGGTGAGACACACCTCCACTGTTCAACTTCACCACTCAAGAACTGCCAACTAATCTACCTCTGGCTACCATCCTTATGCCTCCTCATGCTTGGATTCAAGCAGCTGTTTCAATCCCCACAAATGCCACAGCAGCCACCGATGCTAGTGCTGGAGACCGTGAACAGACCAATAATGCTGTTTCTGCATCATCTTCCAACTTTACCTGAACAGTCCCCAGAAGCCAGCTGCACAGGAAAAGCCACCAGTTACTTGAGTCACTCAGCAACACTGGTCACTTTTGGAAAGAATATTAAAAAGAGAAAAAAAATCTGTTAAAAATATATGTGTGTATGTATATATATATATATATATATATATATATATACATATACATACACACAATGGAATATTATACATATATTTATATATTGTGATTTATAAAAATTTCTTTTATTTTCTCTTATTAAAAAGAGAAAAATCTGTTAAAAATATATATGTGTATATATATGTATATATATGTATATATATACACATACACACAATGGAATATTATACATATATTTATATATTGTGATATATAAAAATTTATCCATCAGACTATATATATATGCAATGGAATATTATATATTATATATATTTACATTTAGTGTATATATAATATATAATACTTTATCCATCAGACTTAATTTTAAGGGCAGAAATCTTGCCTTAGTCCACCTGAAAGAAATAATATATCCTAACAAAGATAACTTGGAACTAGCCCGCCTAAAAAGTAAGAGTTTACCCCTTTATTGAAATAATATAGGTGACCTCCTTATCAGAAAAAAACAGGTGAAATTATTGACTCTTAAATTCTATTGGTTCTTCTTGTGGAAATATTCTGCTCAACTTATTTAAACGGCAAATATCCAGTTCAACGTGGTTTGATGGATGTTGTAACACCATAATACTCTAGGACAGGGATTGACACGCTGTGCCTTGGGAGTCAAATCCATGGCTGCTTTCATATGAAAACAGCAGAATTGTGTAGCTATGACTGAGACTGGGTGGCTCACGATGTCTGAAATACTTCCTCTCTAACCATGTACAGTAAGAGCTTGGTGATCTCTGCTCTAGAATAATGAAATCAGTGAGGAATTTCTTTTCTGCAGGATTGCATTGATTTGGATATCTTCAAAGGAAATGTTCAACTTAATCGAACTTGGAAGCTTTTCCCCACCAAACTCTAGAATATAAGAATAAATGTAGTTTTCTCTGTTGGTTGGGAGTTTCTTGTTAATAAAAAGAAAGGACCTTAGAATTTCAATCTGGAGGGAACATCTAAGACACTGTAAGATAACATTATACCTTTTGGGATGTGTTGAAAGGCAGAAATCAGAAGAATGTGAGTTTTGCTAGAATAATTTCTCAACTGAAATATTAAAAAAATCTGTGCCATAGATATCTACATAAGGTTCAGAATTATGATTTTCAATTTAGGAGAAAAAAACTAGATGCTTCTGTGAATAAAAATATTTCACAGTTTGGTTATGCATCAATGTCTTTGAATGACTATTGGCTTTTCTATCTTACTTCCTTCTCCTGACCATTTTTGAGGGAAAGGTTCTGAAATAAAAGGCCTATTTGTTTCCATTTTTGTTCAATTACTTTTCAACACATTGTCTAAATGTCATCCATGTAGATGTAGGGAGTAAATAGTCCTCATCTGTTCTTCTGCTTGGGTAGAAGTGCCCTCTCATTACCTTTTCAAGATTATGTTGTCTCTTAAGAAAATATGTTTCAATTGCAGAAAGCAGCTGATATAATATTTTTGAAGAAATTTTCTTTAAGACTATAAGATTGAGATAGGATGACAATTGAACTTCTGTTCTAACTGAATTGGGTCTGCAAAACAATAAAAATAGTTTTCAGAATCTTTAACTTTACAAAGCCAGACTCATAAAACCAACAAGAGGAATCGTGACATTTCTGTCATGCCATACTAAGGACTTAATCTTCAACCAGGACTAAACATTTGGTTGTATTGTTTGTTCAGAGACTTCCGTATGAGTAGGAGACAATGCCATATGGTCATCACAGCTATGTGGCCATAGCAACTACATGATTATTTGAATAATTCCCTTTTCCGTTTAATTTTTCTTCCTCTACAACTGAGTGCCATTTTACAGGCAACTCTCAATTTGCAGCAGATGGTTGTACAGTTTGTGAATTTTTCATGCTTCTTCCATTTTGTCGTTCCTTCCTTGCATGTCCCTTGCTCCCTTTAGTAAAAGTCGATCATCAAAAATCAGGAAAATCAAATCACATTAATTGCTATCTTAAAAAAAAAAACTCTTGCAAGAAAAACAGAATATTGACCTCGATTACTGTGACCACTGTGACTGTCTATGCTACTGCAAATGTAAAGGTTATCAATAATTGACTGTAAGTTTCCTATACGTACCTAAGGAGCAAATGTATTATGACAAAGATGAATTTGGCATATGTATATTTCTGTTTTTCCTTACAATGAATTCAAAATCACATTGCTACTTTTATGAAGTTTACAGACAGTCTGACAAATTTTAGACTTGAAAAGTAAAATGATATTGACATTAGATTTTTGAAACTGAATCTCTTTTAACATCCTTTAGGTGTGTTGGAGTTTAGAAATGATTGAGCTGTAATACTTTTCCAGAGTATTGCTCCTACAGTCAATTTCGAGTTCCTTAAGCCCTATTGATTTCATGTGGCTGCCTGGTCATCCTCATCCTGCAGTCTATGACTTGAGTCGCTTCTTTCTCACTATCTAGGACTTTGTTCTTCCTTTATAAGCTGCCTCTGACTTCTGTAGTCACTCTGGGTTTCCTAACCAATATCATACTTTGATCATGGTATGGATGTAATATTATTTTTTGAGTAATTTCTGTGTTTCCTCTTAGTAAATGATGATTTCATTATTATCATTATAATCCACTGAAATATCTATTTTCAAGTGTTGGTTCAAACAGGACTGTTCCAGTTGCAAGCAACAGAAACAAACTTGGCAAACCTAAAAAAAAAAAAAAAGAAAGAAAGAAACTTAAGAGCAGAATAAAGAAAATCTCAAAGCTGACAAATTGATGGAAAGTTTGAAGAACTGGGTCTGGCAATGTATGGAGACTAGAAGAGCTAGTAGCAGCAACTATAAATTAGACCAGGTAGGAACAGTATGCCCTGGTCACCACAGCTGTAATAAATAAGTTTTGACCAGCTCCAGTCTTTTCTTAACACTTCTCAAGATTCAAAATACAGGGATAGAGTATCATGTTGTGGATTTAAATTCCCACCCTTTGTCTAAGGGGTGGCAAGATACATTGATTAAAATTCCTTCTGACAATATCAAAATACAGAAGAAATAACTCCACAAAAGGAAATTCAGTTGTTATTATCAAAGAAAGTGAAATGACTGTGAGTAGCTAGAACCCAATAAATATGCAGTACAATATCTGTACTTGAAAAATCATAATAGTTTAAAAGTTTTTTAACTTTCTTCTAAATTGTGACTTTGGCACTCTGGACAGGTTTTAGAACTTACCTAATGTTACTGATTTTATAATTACATGATTTTTTTCACTTTTACACATTTGGAAGTGTTCAAAATAATTAAATTTAGGTGGGTGTAGTTTTTATACAAAATATTTTTTAATCCTCTATTTTAAATAAAGGATTATAGTACTTTTAGTTATAAATGCTGATAATCAAAATTGCCAAGAATGTATTAATAGAAAATGATGTTATTTTAAGAGAAATTTCTAGAGTTTTATACTCTTCTTAGAAATAATACAGTTCTATATATATATATATATATATATATATATTTTTTTTTTTTTTTTTTTTTTTTTTTTTTTTTTTTTGAGACGGAGTCTCGCCCTGTCGCCCAGGCTGGAGTGCAGTGGCGTGATCTCGGCTCACTGCAAGCTCCATCTCCCGGGTTCACGCCGTTCTCCTGCCTCAGCCTCCCGAGCAGCTGGGACTATAGGCGCCCGCCACCACACCCGGCTAATTTGTTTTGTTGTATTTTTAGTACAGACAGGGTTTCACCGTGTCTCGATCTCCTGACCTCGTGATCCGTCCGCCTCGGCCTCCCAAAGTGCTGGGATTACAGGTGTGAGCCACCGCGCCCGGCCCAGTTCTATATGTTTTCTATTTATTCAGTCTTTCTTTTGGGGCTACAAGAAAATGTGATCAGAAAAATGATTATACATTAAATTCATCATAATTGCTTAGAAAAGAAAGGTAGAAAATCATGACTATTGAGAGTCACTTATCCAAAGAATAAAAGTAGGGTAATGTCCTATACTCGAAAAATTATTCATTTATTTTTTTGAGACAGGGTCTCACTCTGTCACCCAGGCTGGAGTGCTGTGCTTTACCAGTTAGCAAGAGAGAGGTTTACTGTTCAGCATTCAAAAGTATAGTCTTCTGAGCCAATATATCAGGGTTCAAATCCTGGCTCTGATAACCAGCAGACCCATTAGGGTCACCTTGGGATATTTATTCAATTTTTCTGTGCCCCAGTTTATTCACATGTAAAATGAGGATAGTAATAGCAACCCATCTCACGTGATAGTGGTGTAAATTAAATACATTAACTTGATACAGTCTTGAGAGTTTCCTTTCTATATCTTGAATTTGACTAGTAATTTTTTGCTTTTTTGAGACAGAGTCTCCCTCTGTCACCCAGGTTGGAGTGCAGTGGCACGATCTCGGCACACTGCAAGCTCCGCCTCCCGGGTTACGCCATTCTCCTGCCTCAGCCTCCTGAGTAGCTGGGACTACAGGCATCCACCACCACGCCTGGCTAATTTTTTGTATTTTTAGTAGAGACAGGGCTTCACTGTGTTAGCCAGGATGGTTTCGATCTCCTGACCTAGTGATCCATCTGCCTCGGCCTCCCAAAGTGCTGCGATTACAGGCTTGACTAGTATTTTTTATTAGTCCTTTAGACCATTTTTGTAAATTGTCCAGAATTCCTAGTTGCTTATAGTGAAAAGAGTAATTCAGGTCATCTCAGTCTGTATTGTTACTGATGCACCTTGATACTATTTCGTTGAAGAATTCTCTGTCCACCATGCTGTGAGCCACCACTCAAGCACCAACTCTACTTTCTGTTAACATTTTCTATTTTTTTCCTGTCAGCACTTTTTAAAGTCAAACTTTATTCTTTAGAGGAGTTTTAGATTTACAGCAAAACTGAGCAGAAGGCATAAAGAGTTCCCATAAACTCTCATCTCTGACACAGCTACAGCCTCCTCCAATATCAACATCCCCCACTAGGGTAGTACATTTATTGTACTGATGAACCTACATTGACAATGTCATTATCACCCAGCGTCCATAGTTCCCATTAGGCTTCACTCTTGGTGTTATATATTCCATGGGTTTGGATAAATCTATAATGACGTACATCCACCATTATGGTATTAGACAGAGTAGTTTCATTGCTATAAAAATAGTTTGTGTTCTATTAATCCTGCAAATGCCTAAACACCACTGATGTTTTCACTGCCTTAGTTTTGTATTATCCAGAATATCATATACTTGGAATCATATAGAATGTAGTCTTTTCGATTGTCTTCTTTCACTTAGTAATGTGCACTTATAGATCCTCCATGTCTCTTCATGGCTTGGAAACTCATTGCTTTTTAGTGCGGAATAAAGTTCCATTGTCTGGATATACTACAGTTTATTTACTCATTCTACTGAAGTACAACTTGGTGGTTTCCAAGTTTTGGCAATTATGAACAAAATTGCTATAAATATCCATGTGTATGTTTTTGTGTGAACATAAATTTTCAACTATGGATCATATGTAATAGTATGTTTATTTTTGTAGAAAATTGCCAAACTGTATTCTGAAATTGCTGCACCCATTTTCATTCCCACTAGCAATGAAGGAGTTTTCCTGTTGCTCCACATCCTTGACAGCATTGGTGGTCTCAGTATCTGGATTTTGGCCATTCTAATAGACATGTAGTGATATCACCTTGTTGTTTTAATTTGCATTTCCTTGATGACATATGATACAGAAAATCTTTTAATATACTTATTAATCATCTATTTTCTTTGATAATGTGTCTGTTAAGTCTTTGGCCCAGTTAATAATCAGGTTGCTTGTTTTCTTTTTGTTGAGTTTTAAGCATCCTTTGTACATTTTGGTATTAGTCCTTTAGCAGATATGTTTTGTTTTGCAAATATTTTCTCTCAGTCTGTGACTTGTCTTCTCATTCTCTTGAAAATTTCTTTTGCAGGACAGAAAATTTTAATTTTAATGAAGTTCAGCTTAGCAATTCTTTCTTTCATGGATTGTGCCTTTTGTATTGTCTCTAAAAAGTCATTGCCAAACCCAAGGTCATCTATATTTTCCCATATGCTATCTTCTAGGTGTTTGGTAGTTTCACATCTTACACTTCTGTTTATAATCTATTTTGAGTTAATTTTTGTGAAGTGTGGAAATTGTGTGTCTAGGTCTTTTTTTTTTTTTTTTAACATGTGCATGTCTGGTTCATCTGGCATCATTTGCTGGAGGAAAAAAAACAAAACCCTGTATTTTCTCCATGGTATTGCCTTTGACTCTTTATCAAAGATCAGTTGACCATATTTATGTAGGTCTATTTCTGGGTGCTTCTATTTTGTTCCATTGACCAGTTTGTCTGTTGTTTTGTCCATGCCACATGGTCTTGCTTAATGTAGTTTTATAGTAAGTCTTGAATTCTGATACTGTCACTTGTCTGACTTTATTCTCGTTTTTCAATATTTTGTTAGCTATTCTGGTCTTTTGCCTCTGTATAAACTTTAGAATCAGTTTGTCAATATCCACAAAACGACTTGATGGGATTTTTATTGAAGTTGCATTGAATCTCTAGATCACGTTGGGAAGAACTCATCTTGACAATATTGTCTTCCTATCCATTTTTAGTTCTTTGATGTCTTTTATCAGAATTTTATAGTTTTCCTCATATAGGTCTTGTACATATTTTGTTAGATTTATAATTAAGTATTGTATCTTTTGAGGCTAATGTAAATGGTAGTGTGTTTTTAATGTCAAATCCTACTTGTTCATTGTTGGCATATAGGAAAGCAATTGACTTCTGTATGTTAACCTTGTATTCTGCAAACTTGTTATCATTACTTTTTAGTTCCAGAAGGTTTTGTTGTTTTTGTTTTTGTTTTGCTTTTCTACATAATCATGTCCTCTATCAAAAAAGACAGTTTGAATTCTATCTTCCCAACTGTATAGATTTTATTTCTTTTACTTGTCTTATTGCATTAGCTAGGATTTCCAGTACAATGTGGAAAAGCAGTGGCGAAATGTAGCATTCTTGCCTTGTTCCTGATCTTAGCAAGACCTCAGTCTATACTGTTATCAGTAGCTTCTACTTTGTCATCATTAAATAGGATGTTAGCTGTATATTTTTTTGTAGATAAGTCCTAGTTTACTGAGAGGTTTTTTCATGAATGAGTGTTAGGTTTTGTCAAATGCTTTTTCTGTATCTATTGATATAGTCATGTAACTTTTCTTCTTCAGTCTGTTGAGATATTGGATTATATTAATTGATTTTCAAATGTTCCATCAACCTTGCATAACTGGGATAAATCCCACTTGGTCCTGGTATGTAATTTTTCAAATACATTTTGAGTTTGATTTGCCAATGCCCCGCTTATCTCTGATAACTTTCCTTGCTCTGAAATCTGCTGTATCTGAAATTAATATAGCTACTTCTACTTTTTTTTCATTAGTGTTAGCATGGTTTATCTTTCCACATCCACTTATTTTTAATCAATATATGTCTTTATATTTAAAATGGGTAGCATATAGTTGGTTATTGTTTTCTGATCCACTCTGACAATCTCTGTCTTTTAATTGGTATATTTCAATTATTAGTGTTCAGTGATTATTGATATAGCTAGATTAATATCTACTGTCTTCATTACTGTTTTATATTTGCTGCCATTATTCTTTGTTCCTATTTTTGTCTTCTTCTGTTTTTATGCTTATTTTGGCTTTAATTGAGTATTTCACATGATTCCATTTTTTCTTTCTCATTATAAATATATATATATATATATATATATATATATATATATATACTTATATTTTGTTGTTGCCCGTGAGTTCACAGTATGCATTTACAACTAATCCAAATATACTTCTTTGTGGGTAGTGTAAGTGCCTTATAATAACAAAATAATTCGAATTCCTCCCTTCCATCCCTTGTATCATCACTGTTTTCATTTCACTTATACATTTTATTTATGCATAAGGATACATAAGTATATACACATATATGTAATTATGGTTATTATAACTTATAAATAATATATTAGTATATATAAATTATGTAGGAGTACGTATTATGTATGTATAACTATATTGCACATATGTCATTATATATAATTTGCATATAATTATATATAATATAGTTATATATTTTAATTTATAAAACACACATAAAAACACATGTAATTGAACACATTGTTTCCATTATTATTTTGAATAATCTAGTGTCTGTTCACTCAATTAAAAATAAGAAAAATAAAAGTTTATATTTTACCTTCTTCTTTCTCCAGTGTTCTTCTTTTTTTATGTTGTTCCAAGTTTCTGACATATATTATTTTTCTTCTCTTTAAATAACTTCTT